>NC_000002.12:114156284-114459314 GCF_000001405.40 Homo sapiens | reverse complement strand
ATCTGTCCTGGCATAAGAGCCAGATCACTGGTTACATCTTCTAGTAGTACATGTTACATGCTGCATGTCAATGTCCTGCTGAACAAGAGAAGAAGGTCACAGCAACGGTAAGAACAGCATGATATAGGGAACGGCAACCATGACAAACCCAATATCTTCAACACTCATTCTGCAAACAATTCTTTAGCTCGTTTTGTGTTATACATTCCTTAACATTTTTAGAAATTTACTTAATTGATGATTGTAGCAATTTGCCTATATTATTCTCCTCTTTCTCAGACCCATGTTAGGAATATAGTAAAATATCAGTCAGAAGACAATCAATCTTATCAGAGTGATTTAGTCTTTGTAATTCATTTCATATTATTTTGCCTTACTGTAGTTATATTTTTGTTGATCTATTCATTATAACACATTTCCCAATAACTCAGAGATGATTGTGAAACTGGACAAGATGACCTTCAACATTGTATTGACTTTTATTAATGATCTCTTCAATAGTGCATTTGCTTTTATCAATGACTCCTCAAAAAAAGTAGTAATAATAATGAAGATGGCTATTATTTATTATTTTTAAAAATACTTTGCATGTATCATGTCATTTAATTGCTATAACTGTAACATAGAGAACATTATTATCCTATCTAACAGATGAGAAAAGAAGGTTCAGATGATTTTGAAAACTTGCCTCAGATAATATTGCTAAAAGCGGCAAGCTGGAATATGAATTGAGGCAGTTCGATTCCAAAGCGCACATTGTTAGCAAGGATATAATATTGCCTCCTGAAATAGATGGTATGCCTTTGGCTGACAAAATATACATATGTCAAAATTTTCAAGTTCATCTGCTTTTAAGAAAATAACTAGAGCAGTCAACCTCTTTATTTAAAAAAAAATCAGTCTCAAAATGCAGAATCTTAGATTTCATGACAGGCAAATAGGGGAGAGATGAGTGGTCAAGTTGTGATTCTCCCACCCTGAGATGATTTCCTATTTTATGAAAAAGGGTAGAGTGAGAAGTTCCTAGATTAATATAGAATTTGAAGATTGCCAAGCAAGATGCTATCAGGATGAGAATTCAGATTCTCAAGAACGGGGTACTATTTGTTAAGGCTTTGCCAGGAAAGAAACTCTGGCAGAATAGCACAGGATAGCCTGGAAGACTGAAATATGGAGGCAAGAAGATGACTGTTCTGGAAAGAGACCAGGAATGGATGATGAAATGGTCTTTTTGAGTCAGTCTCTGTATCTTTCTACCTTGTTGATTTTCAGATTTACCCTGCAGCCTCAGCCTGCCTTACCCTTGAAAAGAGAGTTCCGACAGCACATAAGGAATATTGTTGTGTTGCTTTCTGGGTTAACACTGGTCTGTCTTCTGTTCCAAGCAGGCATAGAGGAATAATTCAGAGAACATTATTTGTTACTATTTTAAAAGGAACACTAACCATCCTCAGCATGGAATGGTGATAGCTGTGCTACTTTGGCCAAGACAGGAGCAGGGATAGGAGCAGAAATGCAGGAGCGTCCTTCCTGCTTTGCCTCTCACTCAATACCTAAGTGTTGGGGCTTTGCAAAGCATAAAATAAAAATCACTTGTTATAGAGAAAAGAGACAGGGTATAGAATGTTATCCCAGGGGTATAAATATCAGTTCTTCCATGTGATTTGGGGGCAGACTACTAACTCTCCGCCCAGATTCCTCCATCTGTAAATCCTGATTGACAAATGCTGCATCCTCTGAGTGTTCTTTGGGTGGCTCAACCATCCTCAGTTTCAGAAAGGCCCAAAAATAGACTGCTACAGTGGCTCCCAATTCACAGAAGCCATGAGACCAGAATGACCCAGACCTACTCCTAGTCCCGGAGTTTCCTCACCTGCAACAACAGCTACCATGTAAGCCAGTGGTTAATTCTGCTCCCGAGAGGACACTAGCAATGTCTGGAGGCCTTTCATTGTCACAGCTGGGGAAGGGGCTACTGACTGGTAGAGGCCAGGGATGCTGCCAGACATCCTACGATGCCAGTGACAGACCCACAGCAAAGAGTGGTCTGGCCCAACATGTCAATAGCACTGAGGTTGAGAAATCCCAAGTTAGAGCAAGTGAAACCAAATGGATATAGTTTATTTGTATTGACCAACAGAGTCTGCGTAAGATACAACAGACGCAGGATCTGTTCTCTCCTGAACATTAAGAATGAACTCAGTTTTTATTTATATATCCAAGTCTATCCTCCTTGATCTTACTCTTAATCTATTCCACAAACTCAACTCAAACTCTTTCTCGAAACTTCTCACTAGATGGAGTTAGATCAGGCATAGATAGCATCACTTTTATTAACTGTTTTCTACATTTGTCCATGGCTTTCTTATTGTGGCATTGGCAGCAGAACTTGGACTCTATAACCACAGTGTCCAGGAATAGACCACACACACTGTAATAGGATATTTGTTCCTATATTTCCCCACTTTATGCTGGCTTCATATCTGCCCTTGGCTTATTGTACTCTAGTGATCTCTAGAACATATGCTGCCTCTTATGCCCTATTTTAATTACTGGGAAAAATTCAGCCCAGTACTTTAAATGCCTGAAATATTTTGTACGTGTAATCACAACCACTCTCTTAAGCAGTTGCCTTTCCAAAATGTGTTGCAATTTATAAAACTATACAGTGTATATATACTTCATTATATACTGCTATTTTTATTCAACAACATACATTTCCTTCTTCATGTTATCATATCCTGTTGATAATAAGTATGTGTGTCTTATAGGACTGTGGTTGACATTCAACACAAAAAAAATCTAAAATGTTTTGCAAATACTTGAATCCCATATATATTTCTGACATGGTTGCTATTGTTAATATTCTTACCCTGATCCTGGCTAGACCAAGATTGCTACAGATGCCTCTGCCTGGGCCTCTAATGTTAAGAAGTCACTAGTCCAAATGGACTTAAAATCACTGGTCATCCAGATTTGTGCAAACTTGTCCTTACTCCTCAATAGTCCATCTCTCCCAGACCCTAAGCTATCCTTTGAAATTAGTTTATGGTGTTATGTCCTGCTTAGTATTCCCATTAGATGCGCTTTCTGGATTCTCTATTGTTTCTCCTGCCTCACTGAGGTCTGAGTTCCCAGTTCTGATGTTTCCAGGTGGGCCTCCCCTTACAGTCTCCATTAGTAATACATGATAAGGACTTGAGCGGGGTGATGACCATGAAAACGTGAGACTTTGAAAAGACCCACCTGTCAGCATATAATGATGGGATAGTCAAGTGCCTGTATATTTTAGAAGGAAGTACCCTTAAGTTAGATATTTTCATAAGCAGTATTGCCATGTGGTGTGATGCAACGGGCTTGCCTCCATGACATAAGGAGTCAAAGCACGACTGAGTAGTAGGCCCAGTTCTACCTCTTTTGCATTCAAAAAATTAAGCCCTTAAAATTTTTTGGTAAAATGAGAATAATGCCTATCTGGAAATATTAGAAGAAATACTGAATACAGAGGGCTAGATGAAGGTCAGCTGGTTAGCTGTTGATTTTTACTACTTTACTGAGCATGAAAATGGTAAAAAAAAAAAAAAACAAATGAATTTGTGGGTATGAGACTTTCTGGCACAGAGTAGGTGCCTAGAAGATATTTTCTTCTTATTATGGAAAAAAGTAACTTCTCCAAACTTGAAATCACTTTAAACCTTTTCAGCCAAACTCCAATGAAATAAGTTAGCAATAAGCCAACTACAGCTGTATTTACATTTTTTTTTTTTTTTGAGACAGAGTCTTGAACTGTCACCCAGGCTGGTGTGCAGTGGCATGATCTCTGCTCACTGCCACCTCCGCATCCCAGGTTCAGGCGATTCTCCTGCCTCAGCCTCCCATGTAGCTGGGACTACAGGCGTGAGACACCACGCCTGGCTAATTTTTGTATTTTTAGTAGAGACAGGGTTTCACTATGTTGGCCAGGTGGGTCTGGAACTCCTGACATCAGGTAACCCGTCCACCTTGGCCTCCCTAAGTGCTGGGATTACAGGCGTGAGCCATTGGACCTGGCCTGTATTTACGTTTTTAAAACCCACCTCTTATCTCTTCTAACTTATTGTCTTAAATACATATGCCACCACCCCCAAACACACACACACACACACACACACACACACAATAGAAAGAAAATCCCTTGAAAAAACCAACAAAGTATTTAGCTTCCTTTCTCATAGTGATATCGTCTTCTGGAATAAAAGCCATGTGATTATATATCAAATAAAATGAAACATTAATACTATGAAAGAATATTCTGGAGCAGTAACATAGCATTCCCCACATTGGATGGCCTTCACTCACTCATTTATTTAGCAAGTTCTTTTTGAGCCTTCATTCCGTGTCAAGAATAATGCTAGACACTGAAGTCACAATGACAAATGAGAGGCTGCCTTGGCTTCCAGGAGCTTGCAGTCTAGCGGTGGATTCAATATATAGTGGAAGGTAGACAGGGTAGGAAAGAGGGTGAAGGGATAGGATAACAAAGATACATAGACATAAATGTGATGTTGTTTGCAGGGGGAGGGAAGGACAAAGCAAGTCGTCTTCCTGAGGCTGGAAAAAAAAAGGGTTGAGAAATCTTCCAAGATGAGACAAATTCCCTGTGAATTCAGCCCGAATGAGGAGCAGTAACTACCAGCCAGATAATAAGGAACAGGAAGCATTCTCATGAGAGAAAACAGGAAACTTCAATTGAGAGGCTTAAAATAGCAGGGGACCTTGGGTAACAAAAACTAGTTCCTTAGAGCTGGCGGAAACCTGAGAGTTAGGAGACACTCAAATAGGAGGCAGAAAGCATGAGCAGTCAGCTCAGTTTTGTAGTAAGCTTATCTGAACTCATGTATGATCTCCACCTCTTACAGTCTGGGTGACATTGGGCAAGTTAATGTTTTCATCTATAAAATAAGAACAATAATTACTACTAAGTCACTGTAGGAACTAGAGATATCTCATAAAAGTACCTAGAAAAGCATCATGGTTTGGGCACTTAACAATGGTAGTGATGAAATAATAATGATGATGACAGCAAGGATGGTAGTGGTGGTACCCTCCCTTATCTGAGTACTTTCACATATAGCACCATTTGGAGTATTCTTTTCTCTCCCGATTCTTCACCAAGCTGCTATTGCTTGCCCATCAAGTTTCAGTTCAAAGATCCAAACTCATCTGCGAGTTGGGGTGAGGAGCCCCTTCTATGCTGTCTCAGAGCACATTTTTCTTGCCATTGTCATGACACTTTTCATACGCTATGGTCATCAATGACTTACTTTTCCTTGCTTTTCTCCTTCATCCCAAGCAAGGAGAGAAGAGAAAAGATGTCGGACTGTAAGCTTTTTAAAGACAGGCTCTGTGTGCTATCCCATTTGGTCTCCTCATGTGTGCAACTTAATATCTATTGTATATCCAACTAACATTTGTTGAATTAACATATGGATAGACAAAATATCAGAACACACAATTTAAAAGGCTCTTTTATAAAATGAAGCCATTTAGTATACAGTTTTTGATTGTGAATATAGCAAACAAAAGTCAAAGATCAAGGTATTTCTTTGGAGGGGGAATGGGTTTTGCTCTGGTATGTCTTTAGGTGAGTGCTTGCTCATCCCAGTCATCACAGTGTCAACTGTTGCATATCTAACCACAATCCTCATGTTACTCCTGTTAACCATGAGGGCATTCAGGTGTTACAATGAAGGTTTGAGAACAACGCTCCTGAAGGTATAAGAACTTCAAATCCCTAGATGTAGCAGAGAAGACATAATTGTGATAGACCCTGAGAACCCTAATTATTTGATGAGGGATATCACCATTATTTTGTTTCATGCTCCCCAAATAGAAGAAAGTCCAATGACATGTTAACAAAGAAAAAAGAAATGAAGGAAAGAAAACACAATGAAAATTGATTGGAAACTGAGTCATTTAATATGAAAGGAGACGAGACTTCTTTCTACCTGCCCTTTTGCTCAAACGTGATCAAAGAAGCCTCTGCTATAAAGGAAGCAATCGGGGACAATGTTATATTTTAAATTAATACACGTTTGTTGAAAATGTGCTTGGATCATGGCATTGCCTATTTTTCACAGTGTGGTGCAACTTATATGTCTGTCAGATTCTAAAATCTATTTTGCTGATCTCTGTGGTATGTATTTTTGGTTTTCTACCTTCAAACCATCCAATCTCCCTGATGGTTTTCAACAGGATCCAATATTTACTTGTGTCACCTACTTTTCTATTTTCTCCACTCAACCCTGTGTATCATCAAGCAATTAGATAAGGAATTGGTGCAAGATTTAGTTCTAACCAACAAGAGTTGTGGGGTACTTTTTCTTAAAAAGAAACTCAAAGAAAGAAACCACTCTGTCTACTGGACATTGTCAGTTGTCATGTCTGCAGGCCAATTATGGAACTGAAGAAACCATGTAATCACCATGGCAGAAGTTAGTTTGAGAAAAACAAAGCAGAAAGACACAAAGAGGCTGGGTTCTAGGCCATGATATTTGGGCATCAATTTAACTGACCCTGGAGGTGTTCTACTAAGGGACTTTTTCAGTTTGGGAAATTATAATTTCTTAATCTTTTAGCCAATTTATTTAAATTTTTCTGTTATTTTCTGATGCTTTCAATGAAAAGCATCTCAATTAATAAAATTTACATGTTCTTTAACTTACCCCAGATCTCAAAAGACCATGATCATAAGTGTGGTTCCTGTTTAAAGGAGCGAATGGACAATGCTCACGTTTGCCTATTTTTCCTTTCTAATCCTTGGCTTTCTTGTCTGCAAAATGAGAGTCTAGACTAGGAAATCTCTAAGAAATATTTAAAGTTTTATGATTATAGAAACACAGCACATCAAATGCACTTTAATTTTTCCTGTATCTTCTGGAAAATGGTGTGAGCCATCAAGAGAGATCACCCCCGACCACTTGGAACTGATCTTTCAAAAAACACAAGGTATCTTTATTAAAGACAACATATAGGATATGTAATCAGAGAATGAGGAAGAAAATAATTGTCACATCTCTACACCTGAAATTTCCAGGTATTCTTCGAGATTATACACAATGCTATTAACAGAAGCCATTCATGTATTACTAGGCATTGTTGAAATAATGAATCAGCAATAAATATGCAAGAGAATGATGGTCAGTATATTATTTTCAAATATTAAAGAGGAAAATTTTGGTACAGCTAAATGATTGGCATTAGTCAAAAAAGATACTTTTAGATTATAAGGCTACCACTAAATTAGTATTTAAAGACCATATATTAATAAGTTATTAATAACCTTCAAGAAAGTAGCTGGTACCTTTCTAAATGAAGCTAATGAACAAACCTTTTGTTCTTGTTAAGATTTACCTTCTGTAAAACCTGTCTGGCTAATACTAACATCTTATATTTGGATTATCCTGAAAGACAGACCAGGAACGTGTTACCATCTTTATATTTTACTTGAAGACACAAACCTCAGGAATGATTCCCAGGGTCATAGAACTGTGTCCTGAATTTAGATCCCAAGATCTTGTCCCTGCTGTATTGCATTTAAGCTTTGCCGTCAGAGTACAGCCAAATCCTGAAAAACAACACAAAGTCCAGCTCCATGTATGCATTTGCAGCCTTGTTTCTCACCCCTCCTAATCATTTGCCCTCTGTAATCTAGTTGGTCTCAACTATTAAATACTTTCATGACAGTTGCATTGCCTTTTTTCTTCATCTTTGCACATTTTCTCTGTTTCTGAACTATTTTCTTTCCCTTTCTTTATCAATCTAACTCCTATGTAGAGTTCTGGCTTGGGTTTTGTGAATGCCTCCCTTCCCACCAACGACAAACCTAAGTATTTATCCCTCTTAATACTCATCACTTTACATTGTAATCATATTAATTTATATCATAGCCATGCTCTTCAAAAACAAAAGCTATCACCCTCCAAACATTTGAATTCTCTTTCATGAAATATTGAATGACTGTAACAATGAGAGAACGAGTCCAGTGCTCTATTCCTCACACCATGCTGTGCTCACTGGTCATCCAACAACTGTTCTGAGTTTGTTCTTTCATTCTATTTTATTTCCTTCAGAGGATACACCTAAAGGAAAAAATTTGCCATAGCTGTCCATCCTTGATCAAAAATGCCTGCCTTGCATTGTCTCTCTGTCCTAATTCTTTCACTGAATCAAAAAAAAAAATCAAATAAAGGGCCGATCTTTAAATACAATAAGTAATTTTATGCTATTTACTTTCCATTAAAATGAAGTGGAACTCATTTTTCTTAGGGCAAAATTCTGGAAACCAGAGTTGGGAGAAGTGGTGTTTTTCAGTCCGTCAGCAATGATTCATCTTGGAAATTAAGGTTTCTGATTATAAAAAGCCTCACTAGAGTGCCAGAACAAACAGTCCCCCTGAAAAGCCCTACCTATTGAAATCAGCAGTAACCTGTGTCTGCTATACTAATGCAAGCTCCAAAGAAGAACAACAGGGGTTGTCTCTGTTTGGTCACAGGACTTCCTTAATGTAGAAAAACGCTCATAATGCAAAACCTTTTTTTTTTTTTTTACTTACAGAAGCCACTTATCCTCAAGAGAAATAGCACATTGTTCTCACAATCCCTGAGGAACCTTGTTATTTCCTTCAAATGTTGTTTGCATATTTCAAAGTAACAGGTTTAGTTCTGCTTAGCTCAACAAAGACCAATATATTTCTGAACTCAAAAGTCAAACTACATTTCTTGGGAAGGCAAATGAATTTATAGCTTTCTTTGTTCTTTTTGTTCTTTTATTTAAACAATATTAATTGAGCTCCTGCTATGTGGCAGATATTAGGATAGGTACTGAGATTAACAAAAGTAAAAAAAAAAATCAGAGCACTTTAATAGCTCGTAGAGAGACTCACATGGAAACAAATAATTATAACTCAAAAGATTAATTGTTATTAAAGAGGTACAGAAGACTATATGAGAACATCGGCGATTAGGTAAGAACATAACAGTCTGACTAGGAGATTGTGAGAAAATTCTCACTGAGAAAATTCTGCATAAGATTTAAAGTAAGAATAGGAGTTTGCTAAAAGAACCATTTTTGGGGTTTGGGGGATGGGGAAGGTATGTGAGGCAAAGGAAGTATCAAGTCTAGAAGCACAGAGATCATATGAAGCCTATATTTATTCCATGATACAATTCCTCCTCAATGCAACCATATGTACCATCAATGCAGCTACCCAGGTATTTTCCATTTTGGTAGCACAGCACTGGGATGACTAACTGCATTTTTTTACTGAATTAATCAGTTCTTTCAATGACATTTGAATCCAATCTTCTTCCCCTACCTCCCTGGTAAAGGTTCATGATGAAATCTTGCAGATGTTACTACAATATTAGAAGATAATTTTCATCCCCCGGGTGACTTCAAAATGAATTTTTATCATCATTATAGTTAATAATAATTGCAAATAAAATTCTCAGCTTTTATGTCATAAAAATTGATTCTCACTATACAACTCCTTATGAAAATGTCGTATCCTTAAAAATTGCTACTAGAACAAATCATAATACAAAGCACTTACATAGCATTTTTGTTTGGGCAGATAATTTAAGTTTATTGCCCTTCTGTTAGTGGGGGAGAAATCCTTAACAGGGTTAATTGCCTTCCGCAAGACCACATGGTTCATGTGGTAAAGGGAGAGTGAGAACTCCACTTAAGGATGCCCCTCTAAAGAAAAAGCCATCCGATCTGCCTTATATCCGTTTGCAGGTAGTAGGGCAGGCTGTATGCATTTTACTTTTCTTCCCAGTGGTAACTATAAAAAAAAAAAAAAAGAAAAACATCAGAGTGCTATGAAGAATTTCCAAGAAATAAGCCTGTTTGGAGGTAATTTCCTTATTTCACAGCTTATCCCCCAGCTTAAATCTTGTTCTGCTAATGTAATATTATGCTGTGTCTGTCCGTGGAAGGCCAGCTTTGTTCACAATTATTCATGTTGTTCCAGTTGTGTGCTACTTCCAGTTATGCCCTACCAACCTGGCACATATCTACGGGCCAAAGAACATTCATAAAGGCAAGGAGAAAGGCTAATGTGATGATATTCCTCCCTACCATTGTTTGCCAATTTTCAGATACAGCTGGCAAGAAGGGAGACATTTCTCCAGCACAATTTCTGGACAAAAAATTAGTATGATTCTAAATCCCCCTAGTTACCAAAATGTGTTGATTACCAGATGGCCCCAAACCAAGATCAGAGAACAAAACCATCAAAAGCCAAAATGTCAGTATACTTCTTTGAGAAATTTTCTATGAATTTAAAACAAAAAGCAAGGCCTCTAACCTGCTTACATGTTGAGTAACACCTTACAATATCATTTAGGTCCTCTTAGAGCATTATCTCTACTAAATGACCTTAACAGTCATTAATAACCAACAAATATATATTTAATGTCTACTGGGTGAAAGGCATAGTATCAAGTAATCCCTGTGAGGAATAAAAGAGATAAACCTAATGATGAGATTTTGGCTGTCACAGAATTCATGTTACTTAATAACCCTAAGTATCATTCTGAAGCTGTTTAGACCTCTTCTGTGGTACTCAGACAATTCTTACAGGCTGACAATAGCACAGATGTGTCTTATTTTGTAATTCTTTAGCTCAGTGGTTCCAAAACATCAATATGGATCAGAATCACCCACCAAAGATTGCTGGGCCCTACCCCAAGAGTTTCTGACTTAGTAGGTCTAAGTAGAGTCCAAGAATTTGCATTTTTAATGAGTTCACAGGAGATGCTGATACTGCTGGTCTAGGGACAGCACTTTGATAACCACTATCTTAGCTTACTACGTCCATGCTTCATTTGTAGACCCATAATGTCTTTTCAGTGAGAGTTAGTAATTTGTCATCACAAATTTACCATCAAGAATGTCTTCACTAACTGACCAAAACATGAATTTCTAGAAAAGTATTAACACATTACTTTCTCAAGAATAAAATAAATACTAAATACTTCATAAAACTGTTTAAATTTACCTTGAAATTATATTATACAAGAATACTTCTTCAAAGTAAAAGTTGACATTCAAACACTATAAATGTCAAAGGAAAAAGAAACTTTTGATTTTATGAAGATCTAAGCTATAAAATGTAAAGCTGGCCAATTATTATAGTCACTCTTTATTAAAAAGAAAAAAAACTATAATGCTTCATTTTAAAAACAGCTGAATTTATAGTAATTTGAAATAAATTGTGCTATAATTATTTAAGATTTAAATACTTGGCCATAAATGGAAATTGTAAGTGGTGATAAATTTGTCATTAGCAGATGGTCCTATTCTTGTTTATCACAGGCTGTGATTTTGCCTTAAGCATATAAGGAAGCTGTGTCAGAGTAATTAAAAATATGTAGACCATTGCTAAGAGAAAAAAGTTTTCTCTCACACACATAAAATATCCTTATTTCTAATTTTTGTAAGTTTTTTCTTTTGATTTCCTTAGCTATCACCGCTTAGAATGACTCATCCTAATGCTGAAGAAAAATCTGTACCTTGCTAAATGGAAGTGTAGAACTCACTGGTGAAATCAGTTGCTGTAGAGTTACCAGTGGTAACTCTTTCTTTAGTGTGTATGAATCTATGTTGAGTCGATAATTTTATAAAGTTTCTTTTTATGTATTCTTATGAGTAAAGTTCTTAGGATTAGGAATAGGAAGACTCTCTAAGATAAGGTACAATGTAGAAGTATGTAACAATCTTTCCACTTAGAATTTCATATACTGTAATAATGACATTGGAGAATCTTCCATTTTGCATATTGCAATGACACACAGAGGTAGATTTTTTGTTATTAAACATTCCTTGCATTTCTAAATTTTTGTGGATATAATTTATATATTTAATTATGAAATACCCTTTAAGAATAACTTACAATTCAAGTTCAAGTACTATGTGAAACGCAGGTTTGTCAGTGTCCAGCATTTAGGTTAGGGGTATAGAATTAACAACAAGTGGGCCGGGCGCGGTGGCTCATGCCTGTAATCCCAGCACTTTGGGAGGCTGAGAGGGGTGGATAATGAGGTCAAGAGATCGAGACCATGCTGGCCAATGTGGTGAAACCCCGTCTCTACTAAAAATACAAAAATTAGCCAGGCGTGGTGGCAGGTGCCTGTAGTCCCAGCTACTCGGGAGGCTGAGGCAGGAGAATCACTTGAAACTGGGAGGCGGAGGTTGCAGTGAGCTGAGACTCCGTCTCAAAAAAAAAAAAAAAAAATTTAACAACCAGTGAGATTGCAATGCTGTAGTTCCAAGCCATCTCATCATGCCAATTCATGGCAATGTCACACTCCAAAATACCAATTTGCTAACGAAATTATTTCCTAACCACCATGTTCCAAGCCTACGTATTTAACAATACATACTTGTGATAAGATTTTCATCCTCTTTTAACCCCTTGTCTTCTGTTTCCTATGCCTCATTTGGCTGAGGCTATGGATTAGAAGTAGCAAGGGGGAAAAGTCTTTATTAGCACAATGACTCATCAATATTACAATATAAAAGGCAGTAAAAATCACCATGAAAAAGTTTGCCAGCTCAAGATGTACTCCGAAGACAATGAAAATCTTAAAGATTCGTTTAAGTATAGTTTGTAAAAACTTGCAGCAGGGCTATGTAGGAAGTAACTAGAACTTTTAGACCTTGAGACTCTTTTCTAAATGGAAGTGAAAACCTGGGTGTGAAGGCAGTATTAAAATAAATCAGGCAGGTCTTGTAAAAAGGAAAGAGAAAGAGGAAGACCGGTCACTACATGGGAAGGGTAAAGAAATATTGTGTACTGTATTTCAGAGTTACCATATAAAGTATAATACATATAATTCTTGATCCAGGAATCACCACCCCAGATAAGTTACTCACAATTTATAACTTCAAAAAGGATGAAGGATTTTCTCTACTCATTTTAGACACACGAGGATACTAGACTGATATTCAAATGTGAAAGAAATAAGAAAAAAATCTGCACATTTTAGAGGCAAAATTCTAAGTTTGCAATTCCACTAGCAAAAGAAGTAAACCAAGATCAGAGATTTAGCTGAAAGGTTTAATTTACTTTCAGTGCAGCCAAGAGAAGCCATAATGGTGAAGGAAAAACTCAAGTTTGCTACCCATGGTGGGGGACATTCTTCAGAAATCACGTTTATAATAACGCAAAGATCTGATCTCTATTTAGCATTCCCAGATACTTCCTAAAACTTTCCATTAAACATCTCAGAGTAAAAGATTTTTTTTAAAAGAATGTTGCTACCTTCACAGGAAGATTTGTAATCACATCAGGAAAAGCTTTCTTCCCTTACAAGCTCTGAAATGGAGGAAAGTTTTCAGAGTGAATTGCATTCAGCATTTCACCCAAAGTGATCTGAGAACACACTTGGCACCCCTATTTGACTCCCTTTTCTCTCCCTTACTGGTTTTGACGATAGGAACATACCTGCCAAAGTATGCCAGGAAAAGTGTGTCAGTAACTGTCTGAGCTAAAGAATGGCCAGAACGACCAAAGCAAGTGTCAAGCAACCTGAATACTCTTGATCATCTTGTTCCATTATAACTTCTCCCAATTTCCTCTTTTCCAACTCTGACACATCATGGCCACAAACAGCCTTCACTGGCAACAATTGCTGAATTTTACCCACTATAGACTTCATCACTTCTTGAACTTCAAGTGGAGGAGAACACACACACACACACACACACACACACACACACACACACACACACAGAGCTGTTTTTCCTCCTCCTGCACACTTTTGGCCTTTACAGCTATTTTAGCAATGCATTTCACTTTTGTTCATTCCCATTGCATTCTTTTTAGCCGTAGTTTAACTGTTGAGAGAAGAAACAGTCAGCATTTACTATACTGATGGGGGAAAAGTTCTCTAGAGGTTATTACACTGAGCTTTGGGAGAAAAGTCTCTAGAGGTTTTTGAATTTCTAAAATGGAGCAATATGCAAGTTATTTATTTCCAGATCCTCAAAGTGGGTTATCATTACCTGCAGGCCAACCAGATTCCATGAGGGAGGGTTACTTAAAATTATCTGATAGTAAATTGATAGTAAATTTAAGAGTGAGGAATAAAATTAACTTTAAACAACCATGCTTGAAACTAAAATTCTAATAGTTCAAAGAGTATTTTGAGCTCCAATGTCCCACAGCTTCCCAAAACCCTCTCATCTTAGAGTTTTTCTTTAGATTGTTATTGCATTTTGTTCATAGGCTAATGCATTACCTAAATATAGATAGCCATTTTTAGTATAAATTCAAAAAGCCATAAATGTTTCATAATTGAGCACATAATTTGAACTAAGAGAGATTTTCCACTCATCCCTTTTCACTATTGCAAATTGCAAAATACTCAAGTAATTACTCCCTTAATAGTTCAGTGCTTGCGACTATATATATTTTATGAACATCACAAGCATTTTTTTGCTCCCCAGAGCAATATTGGGAATGGGGTGCACAAAAGAATTTAACTTGTACAATTAACCAAATTACCCAGAGCTTTGATTCAAGATTCCTTCATTAAGCCATTAATATAATACATTGTTAAGTGGTGGGTTGTCCAATTTTTATGATACTTTTCATTTCAACTCAATGGCTGCAGTTAGAAGGAAAAAACAGCATCTGCAAGATCAGCAAGATGATGTAAAACCTCTACACTAGAAACATTTTTTTTTCTGTTCCACAGTTTGTTTGTGGGCAGCCAATGCCAGAGCACTAATAAAGGAAGTGATTTGAAGTCTCTGAAAGTAGTAGTCATTTATGCTTACTCAATAAAGAAAAGGGAAAATAAATGCTTGATTCCTGTGACCTCAGACTCTTAAACAGAAAGCCACTGGTTTTGTTATAGCATTCTAGACATACTTAGCAGTAGGCAGCCAGTTTGTAACTCTATCCCACTTTAGGCTTCAATACATATTTCCCACTAGAGCTTATATATCCCAATGTAGAGTGTCATGTATTTACTATTTTGGCTTTGTTCAGTGATATGCTTAGATAATTGATGTATGTGGGAAACTGATACACAGAGGAAAACTATACCAAAAGCTCAACATTTTTTATTTCTAAACTTAGATACAGCACAGAAAATCTAATGCTGAAAAAGATTCTCATATCTGTTATTAGAGGTGGTGTAAATTATCTGAATATGAGTTCTGCATGATTTCAGTTAACTCCCTATGTTTATGTATGATGGGAATCTAATTATGCATCATTTAATATACCCTGGAAACCCCATTGCTTTTAAAAGTCACTGCTAATAAATAGAGGAACATGTTTAGTTTATGGTTTATCTATCACTGAAACACTCTGGCAAACGGTAGGTAAATTCATGAAGAAGAGACATTGTTGAAAATTATATTCCTTTTGTAATTACAGTCTATGCAATATTATTAAAGGCCTGAGACATAAACCAAAACATAATATAAATCATAAAAAGTCAGGCTTATCAGGAATAGTAGCAAAAGGTATGCACTTGTATGTTAATGAGAGATTGCAGTAACTAAAGATGCCCTGTCAGGATATCACGTTTTTTGTTTTAGTTTTTTTTTTTTTTTCATAAAAGAGTTTCAGACGAATCCATCACTTTCCCTCAAGATGCAAAATATCCACATAGATAATAATACAATTCAAGTAAATGGCAAAATATAGTAAACTTTGATTGGAAGTCTGGTCGTTTATAAGCCTTCTTGGAAATAAGAGCATCCCGAATAAAAACAAAGAGAATGGTATAAGCATGACTTGAAACTAAAACAGAAGAGTGAAATTGTGAGTTTGTTCTTTACCTTTAACCATGTGCTGTCAGAAAAGCCTCAAATTTTAAACAACACCTGCATTGAAGAGTGTCTCCAATCATCTCACTGGTTTTGAGTTACATGGTGATATAAATAAAGACATGTGATTTTATACTCTCTCTCTAGTCTTTCATCCTCTCTCACTATAATCACTTTAGTATAACCACCAGTTCAATGCTCACAATGAAGGATGAGCTTTTTTTAAAAAAGGATAAGAGATCCAAAATTCATATGACAATGAAATCCTGTTATCAGATTTGTAGTCAATTTGATGCTATTTATTTCTAGCAGTTTGCAAATTCTTCCCCAGTTCTATCAAGAAAATTGGCATGGACTGGAAACTCTTCTAGACACTCACAAAACTTTCTTCTGGAAATATACCTCTGATAGATTCTCAGTAAAAAAAAAAAAAGTCATGAAGATGAAAGAAGTGTTCAGTGGAAACTATTCTTTCCAGTCTACACACACATGCAGAGCCAAATGCTTTATTGTGACTCAACCTTCAATTCAAACTCAAATCAAGTAGGTATGTCCACTGTCAGTACCCCGATATATCAATGCCCATGTGTTAGGTAGATGAATGAAGACACATGTGCAGAAGCAGAGGGAAAAACCAGATCCTACCTTGATTGTTTTTGAGGGTTGACACTTGATGTGATGGGACACGCTGGCAGTTTGGTTCATGTTTCAGGACCCTGGACAGTGCACAATCCCAGGCGGAGTTCCAGAATGAACTAGAGATCAAGTCTCCTCTATTGGACTTCAGTAGGGGCTGCTGCTGTTGCTGCTGCCGCTGCTACTGCTGTTGCTTCTGCTGCTTCTGTTTCTGCTGCTTCCTCACTCCGGAGGCTGAAACGCTATCAGATTGGAGGAATCTGTATCTCACTTAGCCCTAAATAGAGCATTTACTTGGTTCATCAGTCTCAAAGCTCTTGGCAATATGCAATAGAAAGCCAAAAACGGTTTAAATTCACTTGCAGTGTACCTTTTCAGTATGGAGATGTGACAGCTCCACAGTACAGCCAATGATCCTGGCTCTCATTCCCCTTTCAAAGGGACGAAAACCAGAAAACATACAGAGATCAATTGCAGTCCTGCAGTTTAAAGGGGCACTCTCAACTCCTCTGTCTCTCCAGATTATAGTTTTTCCAGTGCAAAATATTTCTCTCTCTCTCTCTCCCTCTCCCCACCCCTAACCCAGTTTAAAAAAAAATCATAACATCCTCATTCTGTTACTAAATTTTATTCCTTCCTGGGTACTTCTTGCAATCAAAACACAAGTAAATGCTGTGGAAAAAAAAAAAAAAAGACTGTTGGCAGTTTCAGAATTTGGGGGTTTTATATCTATAGGTTGAAGGACTGATATTCCCTATGGATATTTTTAAAATTTAGCCATAACAGCCAGCCAAGAGACTGTCCTTTCTGTAAGGTGGCAGAAAGCTTAAGGTATATTTAAAAAGTTTTCAAATACAATAGTTATTGTAGTTTTTGGATATCGCACCAAAGCTAGACAATGTTTTTATTTTCAACCTTTATTTTTGACCATTGCTTTCCTTGAAGCCGTATTTTTTGAATGCCTGGGACAAACTGGTAGTTAGCTCATGCCAGTCTAACTCCCCAAATGGTCACCTCTCTGTCCCTAATGTCATTTTAGGCAAAATAAATTATAAATATTTGTAAATTAAGTTTTCCGAGTCACCAGTCCCCATTGTCACATCAACACTAACTAGAATAAATATATCCTGGTTGGAAATAAGATCCAGTAGTCTTGAGTAAATGCAGGACACTCTTTTCCAACTTTTGTTGCAAAGTGTTTGATGTTGAAAACCAACAGTATTTATTCATCAGAAATGTATCCTACTAATGAAATGCTAGGTTTATAAGATTGAACTAACGAACTACATTCAGGAGGCTTTTATGAACAGCCTAAAATATTACAGATAAACTTTAATGTGAAATGAAATAAATTAATGTTTGGTGAAATTAATTTATACATAATTATAAACACATATTTTCTCTTGTAAAACAGAAAAGGGATCTAAACATTCTGACAAAGTAGTCTGCACATGTTTGAGGATGGCTAAGTTTCAGAAGGTTATAGTTCTGAGTAGCAAAGTGGAGGTAAGGATGTGACAGAAGTAAGATCAGACTGTTTGCAGCCACAAAAGTTAATGGCAAGAGTATTGGAGAAATCAGGAGAATCATGGGAAAAGAGATGGAGCCAATAAGAACCAGGCAAAAGGCTGTGTGCAAGAATCTGGTGTAGCAATATCCAGGCATCATATTGAGCACAACCAGAGGCAGCCATAGGGCCAACAAATCTCATGATTTGAAGTTTACAATTCTAAATCACAAATGTGACTGGAATTTGTGGCTTATCTTGTATTTTGCTTGAATAGCATTGCTTTGAATAATTCATAAATCACAAAAAGAGTATATTAAAAATGTTTAAACATTTTGTATTCAACAATAATGAAAACAACACAGAAAATTTGCAGTATGCAGCTAAATCAATATTTAAAGGAAAATGTATATAATTAAGTACCTATACCAGAAATGCAGAAAAGCATAAAATTAATAATTAATAAGCTAATTATTCATATCAAAGAGTTGGAAAAAGAATGGCAAAATAAACTCAAATAAATTATAGGGGGGAAACAATAAAGAGAAGAGAAGAAAGTAATGAAGTAAAAAACATACAAAATACTCAATGAAAAAACCTATGAACATTTCATCAGGTGGTTTACAGTTTGATAATCTCTGAATAAATGAATGTTCTATACCAGTAGAATTGGCTTAATTCCTTTCTTAGATAGCACTTTGTACTAGGTATCTAAGAAACTTCCAAACTAAATTATCTGGGGAGCCCAGGGAGGGAGAGCAGTCCAAGAGTTCAGAGTATCCCATCCCCATCAAAGAACTGTACAGGATGGAAGGAGCCACTAGTACTTCAAGGAACCCTCTCCAGGCACATTGATAGAGACAGCATTTATATGCCTACCACAAAGAGGGTATGAGTTGCTGGATTTCTACAACTATAATCACATGAGACTTCACCCCTTTTCTACAATTTTTCAAAAAGGTTCTACCCCCACCTGGATGGCAGCAGGATCCAAGAAAGATATTGACACTACCATTTATAGGTAGGTGGCCAGAATCCACCTAAAATCTTTTCCCAAAGTTGCATTTTGAAAATAGAGAAAAATCACAGTAAGAGAAAAGAGTGCCTCGTATACACCATATGCTCCCTTTCCAGGCTCCACATTATATCAAACTCCAAGTTCCAAAGAAAAATCAAGTGTTCAGAGCAAAACATATGACCCAAATCTCATTTTGGATTTTGTTTTCCCTTTCTGTTATATTATCATTTCATGAATCAAGGAAATGAAAACCATAGTAATTTTTAAACATTTCTATTTAAAACATGTATAAATTGTTCATTATTTTGTAAAATCTGCTGTATCTTAATGTAGCCAATTGGAATGTACAACTAGAAGAAAATAGAGACCAAAGAAATTTAGACAAGTGCTAGAGAATTACAAATACCGCTTAATAAGGATAATTCATATACATTTCTTCTAATTGGGATATATTGGGCTCAATATGTTTAGAATGAAAACAGCTGCAAAATTGCATCACGGTTTGTCACATGGAAGTAGTTTTTTTTAAGGTTTAGATCTGCTGAAGAAACACTATACAGTAAATCATACTGAACTAGAAAATTTAGACAATTTAGTCCAAAGGACCAATTTCAAATGTAATCAACACTTATGATAACCGTATAAAAATATGTTGTTGTCAAACAGTTTGGGAAAAGTTAGGAGTGAGTCCCTTCCACCTTTCCCACAAAAAAAATTAAGATGGCTAACGCTTTCAGAAAATATAACCCACGATGTTCCTTGACCAGCTATCATTTGATCCGGGAAATAGAAATTTAGGATGGGGTTAATGAAAATATCCCATTAGAAAAAAAAAAAAGTCAAAGTGTCAGATGGATTCTACTACCAATTTCCGTCTCTTTGTTTCAAGTCCCATCTGCCCAAGCCCTAACTAGCTGGTCACAGTGATGACCTACAGATTGCAAAGTTAGGCAAGCCCAGGCCTCTAGTCAATAAGAATGGTATCTGAAAGGATATTGGGCTGTTTCCCTGATTTTTTTGAAATCTACTGTAGAAAATTCAAATCCCTCCATGACCATTGAGGGATCATCTCCTCATCTTAACACCTATCATCTGTGTTCTGGTCTTCTCATGACCCATCCACTGAGTCATTTGCATTTCCTACTAGAACTGGAATATGGTTTCTAATGGTTGGCTTTTTTGACTTGACCCTCACCTAACTCCTGCCTGCCACATCTTTCTTCATGATTGACCCCTGCTTGTAACACCTTCTATGCTTCAGATTGTTCCCGGGATTCACTCAAGTGGAAGTCTCTGGTCTAATTGTGGCTTCATGGTCTTCAAGAATTGATCTTTTCTGGAAACCACTTGCAGAGTCAGGATAGGCAAAGTTATGGTTCAATAACAAATAACCTCCAAGGTCGGGTGCAGTGGCCTACACTGATAATCCCAGCATTTTGAGAGGCTGAGACAAGTGGGTCACTTGAGGCCAGGAGTCTGAGAACAGCCTGGGCAACATGGCAAACCCCATCTCTACAAAAAAATACAAAAATTAGCCTGGCATGGTGGTGCACACCTGTAATCCCAGCTATTCGGGAGGCTGAGGCATGAGAGTTGCTTGAACCCCAGAGGCGGAGGTTGCAGTGAGCTGAGATTGTGCCACTGCACTACAGCCTGAATGACAGAGGGAGACTCTATCTCAAAAAATAAAAATAAATAAATAAATACATTTATAAGTAATCTCTAAATCCCAGTGGTTTAAAATAATGAAGGTTTCTTTCTCATTATACAGCATGCCAATACCTGGTTGGCACGGGAGGAAGAGCACGTGAGGCTCTTTCAATCTTAGGGATCCAGGCTGATAAAGGCCCCATCTTAATACAAGCTTTCACAATCAACAAGGCAGAAGGAAAGAAACATGAAAAATCATGCTCTTATTTAAAGGCTTATGCCCAGCAAAGACACAAAACACTTCTACTTACATTCCATTGGCTAAAGCCACTCTCATGGCTACATTCAAGTTTAGGTAACAAGAAAGTGACGTGCAGCATGCACCCAAGTAGCAGTAAAATCAGAATAGCATTCTGAGTAACCCTAATGATAGCCATAACCCTACTGCTGCTTATTTTTCATATGCAGAGATATATGCCTATCTCTGCCATCCAACCTTAAGATGCCAACATGCTTATATTTAATGGTCCATAGACTGTGACAAGTTAATTTCAAAGCTACTTCAGGTAAATATAAGACAGAACTTCTTTATCCTATGTGTCTTGTTATCAACAGGGCTTTCCTAATATCTTTTCCTGAGTTATTCAGGAGTAGGATACAGACCCATAATAACACTTGCATATGGGGAAATACCAGAGTTGAATGTGAGCTATGAGGATTTCCCCTGCTGGGCACATATAGCTCTGCAAAGGCCAGAGCCATTGGTAGGAGGCAGAGCAGGCAGGCCTGACTACATAAGAGTGCATACTTTTAACTATTCTGCTATACGAATAAAAAAAGTTATTTTATCCTACTAACCGTTGTAACTGTACTAATACAACAAAAAGTAAAACTCACATTTTCTTATTCTTTCAGTAGTAATCACTTGAAGGACTTTCTGAAAAAAAAGCAAATATAGTATTATGAATTCTCAAGTAGCAATAAAATGTAAGTTTAATGAGAAAAAGAACACAAATTTCTAAACTCGCTTTTACATTAGATGATCAACTACTGTGTGATTCACTGTCTGAAAGCCACCTCTCCAGACTTATGTCCCATAATATTCCAACCAAACACACAAACACATAGAAAGTGGGAAGTGCTCGCTCTACATTTTCAATTTATCGTCCAAATTAATTAATGAAGTAGTTTATTGTACTCTTTCTCTCATGAGGTATTGCCTAAAACCACATAGAACGTGAGAGCAGGGATTAGAATCAACAAATAAGTGAAGTTATTGACTAGCCTATGCCAGTCCAGCTTTAGAGCTGGCTGCCATTCCCGTATCCAATAAGAACTGACCTACACTCATTGACAAGTGTGAATTGCCCCTCTTTGCATCTCCCGTTACTGGATTTGGCTTCCTGATTTTTCCACTATTCATCTCTTGATCATCACCACAAACTTTTCAAACTGTCCTCTTAGCTGATCCTTGACTATAATTTGCTCTTATCCTGGAGGCTGCCTGCTTCCAAGTACACTGGATATATAGTCTGTATGATGCAGACCAACCTCAGGGTGACCGACTGTCACAGATCCAGTTGACTGACATTCCTGACAGGTTCCACTCCCTGCTGCTTGCTAACCAGAACCAAACACAAACATCTCAAAAATTATCAGTTGCCCCAAGTGGAGTTCCACATCCATAAAAAAGCAAAACATTATCTCTGCTACTGTCATTGTCTTACACAGTTCTAATGGTGACATTTATGTTTTCTGGAATAATTCTCTTCTGCAAAAACTTCCAGCTGAAAATGTGATCCAAATCCTAAATTTATAAAACACTAAAATAGATAGCCATGATTTCCTCATAAGGGATTTTTGGAGCTTTCCTCACCCTCAGTTCTCCAGTTGCAAATAACTCAGCAAACAAGACCCCCAAAAGTGCCTTAGAAATGTTCAGTTCTAGATACAGATGCTTTCATGAACACACAGAAATAAACACTGGAGGTAACTCTTTATGTAAGCATAACAATCTGCTCCACAATCCCTGACAAATGCCTTCAATAAATTTTCTCTATGGCCAAAGTCATAAATCACTGTGAAGACAGAATGCACACATAAAATCCATTGCACTATAGTTCCCCAGACATCAGGGACAGACTACTTCATCTAGTTCAGCTATTAGTGACAGCAGTCCCCCAAGCCAGCCTATACTATTCTAAGGTCCCAAGATCTGCCTATTAGGAATTTTGACCATTGCTCCCTGATTGCCCATTTCTCCTGCTTTCATTTCTTCCTGTTCTGAGTGTTGTCGCAACATTTATGACCTGAAAAGGAGTTCACATGTAAGGTAGATAATTGATGAGCCCAATAAAACAATCATTATAATTTTTAGGGAGCTTTGGCAGTCATTCAGTCCTGGATTCTACTGTGCATCCCACATCTCCAAAGCAGTGGAATGCAGAACCAGTGTTTGCCAGGACTCAGTTCCCTTCCTTTCCCTGTGGTAAACAGTCTTCAACTGCAGATAGTGCCCAACTCAGAGGCTGACTGCTACCTTGGCAGCATTAAGGAGGTGCCATGGCAGGTGTGGTTTGTAACTTCAGCATTTTGTACATTATATAAGAGAACAAAGTGCTGGTTTGGAAATTTTGTTCTATCTTACAAAATTATGGTCATAAGGCAAGTCTTCTGGAATAAAAATTCAAGGAGCAGTCTTAAAGCAAATTAAATGTTTGTAGTCTTTGGAAAAGGCAAGTAAAGTACCCAAATTCAAAATATCTCTTCCAGCCTCTTCATTGCCTCATTCAAAGAAGGCTTTAAAATCAAAGCTAAAAGAATTGACTTTGACCTCCTGGAAAACAAAATAAGGTTAGGAAAGTGCTCATTTTATTCCCTTCCTGCCATCCCCAATTACTACATATTATTCAATGCCCATCTAAATGTTGCCTCTTTCCTCAGATTTTCTTCCTGATTTTTTCACATTTTATCTTTGCCTCTTTTACGGTACTAATCACATTCTGATTTTAGTAACTTAGTTCTGTATTGTTCTTACGTGTATTAACTTGTCCATAAGTTCTCTGAGGGATAAGATTACGGTTCAAAATTCTTTATATAACATGAAACACTTCAGCACATGCATATAGATTAACAACAAACTGCAGGTTATATTACTTAACTCATTAATTAAACCCAAAATCTATTCATTGAGTTTAGCAGTAACTAGGTCACATTTAGCCTTGCTAAGAGCAGTTTTGTGGAAAGGTAAAAGAAATACTAGATTTCAATGGATCAAAAGCTAAATAAAAGGCAAAAAATGGCACATGGAATATAAACCACTGTTAAGAAACTTGGCTGTGAGGAGGCAAATTTATGCTTGGGAAAGGTAATAACCCCAGATAAATAAAAGTTATGATACTATAAAATCATAAATTCTATAGAAAATACTATTTTTTTCCTCTAAAAATATTACTAAATTTTTCTGTATTCTTCCCCTAAACAAATCTATCAGATATGAGTCAGCATGGGAATGAAACAGCAGATGTACTACTGACCTGATTAGAAAATTTAAGCAAAATACATACTGTCCGGAGTAACAGCAACAGGGGGGAAACAACACCAAAAAGCTGCATTTTATTCTGAATTTTGCAAAAATTATACTTGCGGAAAACGGTATTCTCACTTTTACAATATAAAAGGTCATTGTATTTAGGTGGCAAGATAGCTCACCATTAGTATTTTTTCTTTTTGAGCTCCTAAGTTAAACAATGATTTAGAATTAGAATATTCTAATAATGTTTTCTCACTAAAGAATATTGATTAAAATACTGCTTGAACTCAAAAAGTTTCCAGCTCTTAGCACCAGAGTTAAAGCATTCATTTGTTGATTGAGAGAAAAATGTGCATGCCTACTATGTTTTAAGAAACATGTTAGGCATTAGCAGTACAAAAGTGAGCAATAACGATCTTTTTCTTCACTGAGTTCACATTCAAGTATGGGGGCAATGAGGTCAAATGGTGGTGCCATGTATGAAGCAACCACCTCTGAGTGTACACGGTCAAAGAAGCTTCAGAAAGGACATGAAGCATGAGCTGGGTCATCAAAAGTGAGACATGGGAGTTTTTGAGGTAGAAAAGTGGAAATAGGAATAAGGTGGAAATAATAATGCAGTAATTTTCAGGAGAAATCTGAGGAGATGGGGTTCAGACTTCTGGTGGTAAGATCAGTCTCTATGAGGAAGAAGCTTTTTATTTCCTCTGAGACTGGAAATAAGGAAGTTCATGTGAGGCCAGCTACAAGCTGCAGATCTGTCTAGATATCCAGGTGAGAACTAGAGGTACATGAACAGATTCCATATTAAGTAAGAGTTTGCATAATTTTCTGAGAACGAATGAGACATGGGATTGGGCTAGAAGAGAGTAGTGGAAGATTAAAACTGTTACTGAGAAGAATTGAGCACAAATGAACCAAAGAGAAATGAAACGATTTTCTAGAGAAATAAGGATCTAGCTAAAGAAGGTCACAGAAGTGGAGTTAAATAATTGTTTGAGAAGAGTATAAAGCCCACTTGGTAGAGAACCAGCATCCTGAATTCCATGGTTAAAGATCGCCAAAGTTTCAAGTTTTTGTCCTGCTCTTGCTGGTGACCTGAAATGTCCAACACTTAGGTGCTTAAGTCATTTTAGTTCTCCTTTTAAATGTAAGAAAGGTCAAAACCAGGAAAAGATAGCCAATTGGATACATGCATCTAATTTGGCAGTACCTAAAAACACCCACTAGATAAGTAAATATTTTTTGGAAGACATAAACTTATAAGGATGGAAATAAAAAGAGAAGATTTAACAGCAACAAATTTTTGGAAGACTGAAAGATGAGTATTGAATAATTCAGCAGACTTAATTAAATAATTAATCAGTCCAAGCTTAAGCTGGTACTATAGAAAATTGAGAAACAACCATATTTGCACTGCAGAATCATCAAAAGGTACAGGAAGTGACAGCACCAGATATCTCTGGAACTGGGAGCAAAGCGTAATTTAGATGAAGAGAACGATGATAATTGGTTTAACATTATTTGAGAAAAAAAATAGATCCCTGGAACCCCTCCCCACTCTATGCCCATAGACAACTGCCCATCCTCCACTCTGGCAAAATGCTGGAGACTTCTCAAAAGATTTCTGGAAGGTTCAATTCTGGAGACTCTAAATAGAGGGTATCAGCACAAAAGGACTCCAGACTCATGTGAAAACCTAGACAGTCTTTTAAGAACAGTGAGATGATGTGGCCAAGTGACTATGGAATGCTGACCAACCTACCCCTTTCCTGTTTTTTATTTCCAAAACTCTGGTAGGCAGACCTGTATTTTCAATACAAAAGATTGGAAGAGTCTGCTCCAAGGAAAAGCCCAAAGACATTAACATCAAAGAACTCTAACAACTCACCCTCATCACCCTGCCAAGGAGACCAAAGTCTGCAAACCCTATTCATGTGCGCAGAGGTTTCGATTACATTTTACATTTCTATTCTAAATCATGGGCAGAAAACTGAGGGTTATTAGACACGAGGAAATTCTATATCTTTAATATAGAGACCAAGTAAAACAAATAGAAAAAGGTCCTTGGAGGAAGGTCTCTAATATAGAGACCAAGTCAAATAAATAGAAAAAAGTCCTTGGAGGAAGCAAGGACTATGAAGGGAGAAAAAAATGAAAGAAACTATTATTAAGAGTAGTAACAGTGGCTATTATATCCATGAAACAAGGCTAGAATGTTGTTTTAAAAAATAAAAGAGAATTCAAATAAAACACTAGTAATTAAAAATGTGATATCAGAATTTTTTGGATCAGTATAACGTAAAGTTGAGGAAACCCATATAAAAAGAGCGTCTTTAAAGAGATGGAAAAGATAACAAAATTAGAAGACTTGTTTGCAGTGGTCTGATACCTAAATATTAGTACTAGAAAGAAAGGGAAACAAAGAACAGGAGGGAAGAAATCATCAACCAAATAATGACTTAAATTTTCTAGAAATAGAAGGGCCAGAGTTTTTAGATTGAAAATGCCCACTGAATGTCCAACACAAAAAGTAAAACTAGACCCTGAATGAGGAACACCATTCTGAAATTTTAGAGCACTGGGGACAAAGATGCTAAGAACTTTCATGGAGGAAAAATAAAAGTGTTATGTATGAACAATAAGAAATCAGAGGAGCCATGGGTTTCTCAATAGCAATTCTGGAAACTAGCAGGCTGGATGGAACAACACACTAAGGGAAAATGATTTCTAACAGAATTCTGTAACTAGCAAAACTATCAATCAAATAAGAAGATAGAATAAAATTAACTTCAGACATGCAAATCACAAAATATTCACCTCCCACATAGCCTTTCTCATAATGCCTCTGTAGACGAACTCGTCAAAAGCCTTTTCTTGGTGAAACAATGCATAAAACACTTCTACTACTAATCAAAGTACAATGGTTGTACAGTGAAGTTGTAAGTTGATGAGCTGCTTTTTAATGAAATGACACTTTTATGTGAAAGAACAACTGACAGGCACACTGTGATTATTCACACTTGAATATTTGCCTGATACATTCTCTAAAATGAACAAAGTGAGCCTAACACTTTAAGGAAAACAACTGACAATAGCTGTGGCCAGTGTTAAAATAGGAACTTTCAAGCCAAAATTAGAATTCAGGAAATTTCTAACTGTCATGGGAGCTTAACTTCTTTCCAATACTTAGACTTTTCTGATGACATGTGTGGTTGTATTAACTGTATTAACAAGCATGATTTCTCAACGTTGTATAGTGAAAATTGTTGATATTTGGAAGATCTAAATTAGTAGGTAAGTCAGCATCTTCCAAATGACCAATGGATGACATTAAAGAAATGTGCATGGGTAAAAGAGTACAAAATAGATTAATAAACTTTTCATAGTAAAAAGTTAATAGATATGGTTTCAGATCCTATATTGCCACTAACCTTTAAGAAACTACCTTTAATAGAGTTGTGGTGTGCTACCAAAGAAAAAGAACCACAATTATCTAAAAAGGCCACAAAATATTTCTGCCTTTTCCAACTACAATTCTGCATAAGGTCCATTTTCTTCAAGCACTTCAGTGAAAACAACAAGCTGTAAAAGATTGAATGCAGAAATAGTTATGAAAATCCATCTGTTTTTCTTTCAATGCAGACATTGAAGAGACTGTGTTTTGTTTTGGAAATAAGTTACTTTTCATAAAAATGTTACTTACGTTAAAACACAATTAGCATATTATTGTGATTTTCAAATTAATTAATAAACACTTTTTTCTAAACGTTAGTGTTAATTTTTAATACAGTCAACATTAATAAACATGACCCATATAAATAAAAGCTCTTGGATTTCCTCAATCTTTTATTTGTTTTTTTAAGGATATGAGTCCCTGAGACCAAAAAGTCTGAGAACCACTAACATAGGAAAAAAGAAGAAATGTAGTATAAGAGCCATTTTTTTAAAAATCGTTTATTTAAAAGGGTGTTAAGGTGCATAACCAACTACTAGTACATTCCTCACTTATTAATTAGGACAATGAAATTCAGAAATGAGAAAGTGACACCAGCAATTACTCACAAAGCTAGTTCAAGCGTTCATGACTCTTTCCTCCCACTCCAAGGCTTTTTCTTCTGTATTATGCTGGCTTCTCAACCTCCATTTTGTAATCTGCATATCTTTTTTATGAACAGATAATATATATGTACATATGTGGGGTGTGTGCGTGTGTATAGAATTGTACTAGAGGCAGCAATCTTGTCCTTCCAACTTTCTTAACTCCTTCTCAGAAAACTTGTTCCAACAGCCTCTATTAAGAAATCAACAGACCTCATGAGCCCAGTACCCCCAGTTTCCGCTAATGGAATTAGTTATAGAGATACAAACAAAACAAACTTCTCTTTCTGAAAGTTATATTTGGAAAAAAGGAAAACTAGTCAGTCTCTACTGAAAACTTAAAATTGGTAAAACTGAGTAGCTGGGTAGGGTTTAAAACAATCACAACTGGGCCCGACATTTGCCAAAGTCAAGACAATGTGAATTGCAGCTGAAGGAGAGACAAGAAGATCAGCAGAGAAACACTGAGGGGTGGGACTGGCCCCAGTCCTCCAGTTCCTGGTTACAGGCCCTGTGAGGCCTAGCTTCAGAAGATTCCCATTGATTCGTCAATTTTTGCTTTATTTATTTGAATGGGTTTTTATTCTTTGCAACCTAGTGACCATGTTTCAGGAAAAATGTGCAAATGTATATAATTCCTACTCCAATAATGATGAAGTACAGCTACAGAGTGGATGGTGAAAGTATAAAAGGCAGAACATAAAGCCCTGGCATTTGCCCGATGAGAGCAGTTGCCAAGGCACAGAGCATGGCGGCAGAGAAAGCCTGTACACATGCCTTCAGCTGGCAACCTGAGAGATCACATCAGAGGTCTCTAATTTGGACCAAACATGTAGTTGGCAATTTCACTGAAAAAAACTGGATTCAGACAGGGCTTGATAACACATTGTAAAGTCTTCATAAATAATTGTTAAATTAAGAAATAAAAGCACGGCACACTTGTGGCCAACTCTCTCTAAATGTTACAATCATCTTGGAAATCACTTATCCAAAACTTCTTAAGCAATGGATCTAAAGTAAGGACCATACAAAAAGTACGTTTTCAAATAGGACTCCAGATGAGAAAATCTACCAAAAAAAAATAAAAAATTCTGTAGTGATGTCCAGCTATTCTGTTGTAATTGTAAAAGCTGAAGGTAAGAGTGGTGTTTATACTAAAGAAGAGCAAAGAGGGTTTTCTGGATAAATTCTAGAGCAGTCTCTAGAAGAGGTTAAAAAGACTGGAGCAAGCAACTAACAAAAAGCTAAGAAAAGTCATCAAATCAATGGAAACCCAAAAAGGAAAAACAT
This sequence comes from Homo sapiens, assembly GCF_000001405.40. Lineage (NCBI taxonomy): Eukaryota > Metazoa > Chordata > Mammalia > Primates > Hominidae > Homo > Homo sapiens. The sequence goes on along the minus strand of NC_000002.12, from coordinate 114,429,749 downwards.
GGAGGAGTGAAAGAAGAAATTGGTGCTAGTAATTTGAACAACATAGGATGATAAAGGATTTTGACTAGGCTATTGTTGAAAAGTCAGGAATAATGTCGACCCCATTATACACAGATGTTTACTGTTTGTGAAAACTCTTTCTAAAGCATTATGTTAAATGTGCTGGAAAACAGCAAGGGAGTGAAAGTTGACGTGTCTCTTCTAATCCTGGTTGATGAGGACTCAAACCTTAGAAAACATAAAATGTCCTTGAAAAATTATTATGATTCTGACATAGCAGGAGCTTCTCAAATACAAGAGTCACCAAAAAATAGACCTAAGACTGTGGGCAGATATATGCTGTTACCCCTCCAAAAGTAATGTCTTCATCCGCACAGAGGTTATGGCACTCAAGGGTCGACGACACCCAGTGATTAAAATCTGTGCCCAATACCCAGCCAGAGAGAGGCCTGAGATTTAGGGAGAATCTCTTCACTCTTTTTGGCTCTCAGGCCGGAGACTGCGGAATGTTGCCGACCCTGCAATTCAGGTTTTCCATCCTTAAAGACACTGAAGATGGACGAGACCCTGAAATCACTCTCCAAACACTGATTCTTTATTTATGGAGCCTAGGAGATAGGGAACATTAAGTGAACTCAAAACGGCATGTTGTGATCAGATTTTCAGCTGTTCTGTGTCACTGGGAACTGCAAAGTAAAAAGAACAGCCCTCTCCGATTGTCCTATTGATGTATTGAACAGTTTCAATATTTAATGTCAGATTTGGGTTTAGTAAAAAGGAACAGACCTCAACTAGACTGATTAATATCAAGCCAGCCAGGATAGATGTGGAGAAGGTGGTCATTTGTGTGATATAATTGCGGTGAACCAGGAAGAGCCATTCTGGGCAAAAACTGATTCATCTGGCCCAGTCCCAGACACCCTTCAGGTTTCACACTACAGCAAATTAAACAATGTGGAGTCGTTCTTTGGGAGGCCTCTCTGTGTTCCCTTCTTTATAAATTATAAATCTACTTACTGTCCAATATAATTCATTAAAAGAAAAACCCTACCTGTCAATTTCTTTGCATGAATATATGAGAGAGAGACACGGAGAGAAAGAGCTGTGATAAAAATATGTATCAAACTTTTATCATCATTTAATCCTAGGAAGTAGGATAAGAAGGAGTATAAGAATGAAAGAAAGCCAGGCTTTCCTCTATTTTTTAGAATTCTATAGAGGATTTAATTTGTTTAAATTTTACTCCAACAAATATGCACTACTTTTGTAATTTGGACAAAAGAAATCCAAAAAGAGAAAACTGTTGCTCACACTTCTGGAGTGTTAATGGCTTATTCATTCACACAAACTTTGCCTTGACTAACATGAGATTTTTATTTGCTGCTCCTTGATGCCAGTCCTAAAAATTGTAGATTTCAATTCTATTCTGTATCAAAATGTCATAAACTACCAAGGCTGGAAGATCCATTGGGGCAAACTCTGAATATTGGAGTAAAGGAAATGACATGATAAGTCACTTGTTTATAATAGATTGTCTCATTGACTCAGCAAATATTCTTTGAGTGCCTGTATATTTAACCAAAAATTAAAAGTGTGTTGGAGTTAAACAACTATGAGTTTTATACATATCTATCCACAAAGGACTTCTTATCAAATTTACTGCATACCAGTAATATGACTGGCACAATTCTAAATATATATATACTCGTATGTTTTAGACAGAAATTCATAGTCCCACTTTATGAATAAGAAAGTTGAGGCTCAAAAGAGTTAAATCTTCTGTCCGAAGTCACACACCTGGCGAGTATTGGTGGTATAGTCAAACCCAGATATTCTTCCCTCCAGTCCTAGGTACTGGTCAGTTTTGTATGAGGCATTCTTCTCTTGGGACTTATTCGAGGAGAAGAGAGACAATCAGAAGTGAAACTGTTTTTTTGTTGTTTTTTTCTAAACTTCTAGTCCAATTATTTTATCTAAATCACAACAATAAATATACCAATTTGAGGCTTGTTTCCGTCCTCAGTTTTAAATACTCTTTTGAATAGCTCAGAACTATTTCCTTGATCAAAAACTGATACTCACTTGGCAAGCCTTATTACTTAAATCATCTCCCATAAAATAAAAAAATAAAATAAAAGCTCATTAGAGGGGATTTTCAATATCCTCTGATTTCTAATTAAAACAAGAATTAAAAATCATAAAACTGATTAAAGTTTGTGTGGAAGAAAATAACTTAACCTTTGGACTACTTGTATTTATTATTCTTGGTGACCTCTCAAGCTAAATAATTCTGGCTGAAAATAAGACTCTGATAAAATAAACGGATTTGGATTGCTTTTCGTGCTTCCTCACAAATCTTTCTAAAGACCTTGAACTTTCTGTGGACAGAGGATATCATGACTTACGATACAGGTTAGAATAAAAGATATTTTATTGAATCTAAAATGAAAAAATATATCTTCTGTTTTAGAATTATAACTTCCCTATAATTTTATTTTATAGAGATGCTATGAACTGATGTATGTTTCCCCAAATTTATATATTGAAGTCCTAATCTGTATTTGGACATAGGTCCTATAACGAGGTAATCAAGGTTAGATGAGGTCATAAAAGTGGGGTCTTGATACAATAGGAAGAAGAGACTTCTAACAAGAGACAATGGAGAGCTTTTTCTCTCTTTCACCACACACAAAGAAGAGGTCATGTGAGCACCCAGCAAGATGGCGGCTACCTACAAGCCAGGAGAAGCAGCCTCAGAATGAAAACTATCTTGCTGGCACCTTGACCTTGGACTTTCCAGCTTTCAGAACTGTGAGAAAACAAATCTCTGTTGTTTTAGCCACACAGTCTGTGGTATCTTGTTACGACAGCCGAGCAGACTAATACAAGGAATATGACTTCATTTATATGAGTAAGTAATTTTGAACAAAAATAGCTTTGGGTAGATAAATTTAAGGTTGCTAATTTGGGCATAAAGCTTTGCTCCAACTGATAATTGGTGATAAGAATCATAGCACAAACTGCAACAAAATTAATGTGGCTACAGTCACTTCTTTGAACATCACTTAGAAGATAGAATTTATGGTGATACCGCCAGGTAAATTTCTTAAACTCAAAGAAACAAGTGTAGCTGACTGTCAACCTGGCCTTCCTTTCTACAACGTAAGGGCTTCCCAGTTGAACTCAGTTTACTAAGCAAAAGCATCCATTTCCCTTTCTTCAAAAATATTGGTGTTAAAAGAATTACAGGAGGAAAGAGGAAAACTAGTACACTTTCCAGGGAAATGTCTACAGTATAACTGAATTTTGTATGAAAAGGGAGAACACACACTCAGCCGACAGGAAAACATTGTCTCCATTTTCTCTCATGGCAAAACATCAAGGCCCCACTTTCCTGCCAGGCCTCTAGGCAACTTCAGAATTCATTTCTACGTGGCAGCCTGGCCAGCCCTTTCCAGTGACTGGAGCTGGCATGCACAATAGAATTTAATTGCTATGCCTGAGTATAACTCAGCTTGCCATTTCTTTACAGAACCACAGACCCAGGTCTAGGGGAAACTGGGCTGAAGCTAAGATAAATTAGGCTAAAAGCAAGAAAGATTTAAAACCACCAGCTCTCATATTACTATATTTAGGAGATGAGAAATGTTAATAATTCAGTACATATTGTGTGATCTAATAATTGCTTATATAATATTCATCCTTGGAATGGCTGTGGGCCAACACTACAGGCTGGGTGATGTAACTTGCACTTTCTTTTTTTTTCTTTTTCTTTTTTTTTTTTTTTTTGAGATGGAGTCTCGCTCTGTCTCCCAGGCTGGCGTGCAATGGCACTATCTCGGCTCACTGCAAGCTCCGCCTCCCAGGTTCACGCCATTCTCCTGCTTCAGCCTCTGGAGTAGCTGGGACTACAGATGCCTGCCACCACGCCCAGCTAATTTTTGTATCTGTTTTTAGTAGAGACGGGGTTTCATCGTGTTAGCCAGGATGGTCTCGATCTCCTGACCTCGTGATCCGCCTGCTTCGGCCTCCCAAAGTGCTGGGATTACAGGCTGAGCCACCGCGCCCAGCCTCAATTTGCACTTTCAATACGCTTCTCCTTTCCTGACTGTTCTCAAGGACTTAAAAGCTGGAAACAGGTTTATTTAGTTCCCTTTTCAGCTAGGTGTGGGCATATAACATAGGTCTGGGATATAAGCAGAAATCTGCTGAAGCAACCTGTTCTGTCTGGAATGCAGTCACAAAGCCTAGAGATGTGGCAACTTCCAGTGCCCATAGAGCAGCATACATAAGCATAAATGCCAAGACACTAAGAATGAGGCATAGAAACATGGGAGGAACGTGGGTCCCTGGAGTCATTGCTAAACCCACTGCCCTGGACTGTTACTGCCAGCCTTCTTCTTATGTGTGGGTGGCATATGCAGCTTTAGGTTTTTAATCTAGGACAAACCATGTGCTCCATATTTTGCAGTTGAACATTCTTGATTAATACAATGACTTCAGGTTTGCAAAAGCTTAGAAAACTTTGAGCAAAACAAATATTTTCTGCCATAAATATGTATCCAAGAAAATCTTAAAAGCCTTTCAAGTGTACAAAATCCTAGTTATTGTCTCCAGTTGAGTAACTTTTCACTTGCCTCTTTTATCTTGGGAAAGGGCACCAATCCTCTTACAGTGATAAAGGAAACAGTGAATTCAAACTAGAGTCACATAATTCTATTGCTTTTATAACTCTATCTGCTATGTCACTTGCTCTCTCACTAATTCTATGTGCTAGTTCCAGTTCTTTTTTTATGTCTAATAGTTCCTCTCTTTTCCCAGTTGTGGTTGGCTGCCATCACAGAGGAATTCCGTGGCATGGTCCAGCTGTAGCCAGACACTAACGCAATCCAAGCTTTGCTTGGCAATATGTAAAAAGACCAAGCCTAGCCATTTTATAGAGTGTGGAACTGGTCTTGTTTCCTTAAGTCTATAAAGTGTTCCTATGTACCTATCAACAGTAAGTAACCTTATTCCTCAACCTTATTTCTACCAACTTTTTGACAACCCAGAGCCCCTGAGTGTAAACATGCTTAGTGTCTTACAAACAGGTCTACTTTAAAGGACCATTGCATAGGGTCATGATAGACTTTGAACAACATTCCCTTTCCCTACTCCCAAATTCTACATAAGACCGCAGAACACTCTATTGATTTGAAACTATCCATATTTTATTCATATAATTGTGGTTTGCATAAGTTATCTAATACACATACATACACACACATATTTTTATCTAATATATTTCTAATACACATACATACACACACATATTTTTAGCTTTTTCCTGTTGAGGTGACTATTATCAGATCTTTAAAATTTATGTGCTATTAGGTAAAATCATTTTATGTCACGAGTTGTCATATCAGGCCACACCTGTGATTTTCAACACTGATATGATATTCAGAGCAATTGGACCACACCTTGCTTTCATTCAGTCAGAACCCAGCAATGTTTTGATTATGTTCAGGTTACACCCACGGAGGTGTTGACTGATTCCAGCAATCATATTTTCATCATTAAACTAAGGAATAGTTGATACAGCTCTTTAGAAGCAATGTAAATCTGCTGACAAAGAAAAGCTAATAAAATCATTGTTATACCAATCTCTCCAAAAAAAATCTTCAATTAGACAAGATTATTTTAAGAGTAAAATGTTGGAATCAGAATCAGGCTGGGCAACAAAAAAAGGGGGAGGAAGAGGAGGAGGAGGAGAAGGAGGAAGAGGAAGAGGAGGAGAAGAAGAAGAAGGAGGAGGAGGAAGAGGAGGAGGAGGAGAAAGAGGAGGAGGAGGAGGAAGAGGAGAAAGATAAGGCTTGAAGACCACAACCTTCCTATGTAAGAAATTTCTTTATTATTTTTTATTTTTTTGAGATGGAGTCTTGCTCTGTCACCAGGCTGGAGTGCAGTGGCATGATCTCGGCTTACCGCAACCTCCACCTCCTGGGTTCAAGCGATTCTCCTGCCTCAGCCTCACGAGTAGCTGGGACTACAGGCACGCACCACCATGCTCAGCTAATTTTTGTATTTTCAGTACAGACAGGGTTTCACCATGTTGGCGAGGATGGTCTCAATCTCTTGACCTCGTGATCGACCCGCCTTGGCCTCCCAAAGTGCTGGGATTACAGGTGTCAGCCACCACGCCCAACCAGAAATGTCTTGTATCACTTTATCCCAGAGCCTCAGATATACTCTTCTACTACCCTGAATCCCAGCCTTCTTCCCTGAGGTTCACCAGAATACATGACCTAGTTCTTCTCAGTTCCTCCCTGTGTGGGTTAATCCCTCTCTAATTGCTGCAGGATTAAGATTCTGCTTCAAACTGAAGGGTATTTGAAACTATACTACAGTCTCCTTTGTGATTCTTGTTAGGAAGATGACTAGAGAATTGTATAGTTATTTTAGGGGGAATTGTAGAACACAGTCAATAAAGAGTACCTAAATAAAATGAAGTGGTGAAGTAAATTAGTTTCAACCTCAGCTTAAGCACAGGATTCTGGCACTGCTGTGCAGGCCGACTTCTTGTGCAGAAAGTCTTTCAACTTAGCTTCAGCCAAGTGTGTGCCTTAAACATTCCTTTTGCATAGGGAATTGCATGCATTCCTGCCTTGTCAAACTGTGGAAGTATAGGCTTTTTCCGACTTCTGTCATCTCTCCTTGCTCCGGCATCATGGGTCCCTACAACTCACCTCCATGCTTCAGAATTCTTCCAACCCACTAGGTACATATGTCTGGTTCTCCCGAGAGCGCTCTCTCACCATGCAGTGGGCTCTATCTGCATCTCAGCAAACCTTCAGCCAGAGGGTAAGATATCAATGCCCCACCCCCTTACAGGCATCTTCAGTCTCTACGACTGAATTCTTTGAGCCCTCTTCAGTTAGATAGGGCAAGTAGAGGAAGGAAAAAATTCTAAGGGCTCTGGACCACTATTAATTCCCTTCATTCTGTCTTCCCATACTTTATTTTCCTCTTTTTCTTTTTCTTTTTTTTTTTTTTCAGAGTCTCGCTGTGATGCCCAGGCTGGAGTGCACTGGCACAATCTCTGCTCACTGCAAACTCCGCCTCCCGGGTTCACTCCATTCTCCTGCCTCAGCCTCCCGAGCAGCTGGGACCACAGGCACCTGCCACCACGCCTGGCTAATTTTTTTTTTTTTTTTGTATTTTTAGTAGAGATGGAGTTTCACCGTGTTAGCCAGGATGGTCTCCATCTCCTGACCTCGTGATCCACCTGCCTCGGCCTCCCAAAGTGCTGGGATGACAGGCGTGAGCCACCGCGCCCGGCCTTTATTTTCCTCTTTTACATGGACTGATGAAGAAGTGGGGATGAGGGTCCCAGGGCCAGTTTTGATATTTTCTATTAACTCCCATATAGACGACTCCAGCACTTTTCTATCATTCCCCCATTTTAAGGCTCCCACTGAAATTCTAAAACAAAAAGGAAACATACCACTCAAATTAATTATCTATTTAAAGAAGTTAAGAAATTACATGCAGACTTAAAGGCTTTTTAAATCTAGGTTTTGAACTTTATAACATTAGTAGTTTGAATACTGAATTAAAATTTACTTGATAAATGCCCTAACTGTAAAATCACCTTCCTGCAACATTCAAAATAACTCAGAAGATCCTTGTCACCACTAGAAATTCCTGCCCCAGTCCCCACCCCCAGGATCAGCTTACCTAGGAAACCGACTGAGGTAAGCCCAGAGCCACCCTGAGTTTTCTCAGACATTTCAACACCTATTTGATTGCTAACTACCCATTGCCTTCCCTATGCAAGGGGTCAGCACAAAGCACTGAAAATTCCTCCCACTCCAGATGCCTCTGCTTCCTCCTCACCAGCCCACCACGATGTCTCAGCTCTCCTTGAGGTCTCAGCCATAGCTCGCATCAACTAATTCTTCAATGTGAGAAGCTTTGATAAAGTTGATATAAATTATGCCTGCTTATAAGGTCTTTCTCAAGGAAAATAATCAGCTACCCAGATATTCCGTACTGTTTCAGGCTCTCAAATTATTATTCTTCCCAGAACCTACACAGTCAAAATATTGATGTACAAAGGTTTGGTTTACTCTCCACTTTCACTAGAAAGTGGGAAAAACTGACTTGGCCAGATATAGGGCTTTCATCCTCAAATTGTAGGTCACTGAGAGACAAGGAAATTTCAAAATGTGTTTTATTGTGGTTTTAAGCTGTAAGTAATAATGAATGTGTTTATTTATTCAATGAACATTTGTAGGGACACATTGCTATTTGCTAAGGTCTATGTTCTTTTGAGGGACCCAGAGCTAGTGGGGTTGCAGTGCTGTAGAGTGGCATAGACATGTAAACAAATGTGCTAGATTATTTATTGTGATGCTAACTTCTTGCTGTTTTCTCACATCTCAACTGGAAATTAAGTTGAAATAATTTTCTTCATATTGCTACTTTCATAGTCTTGGAAAATTGTCAAAAACTTGGTATCTGGGACAAAAGCAGAAGTTGCAGGGCAATTGTTCATCTTTTTTAACCCACAGTTTTCTTTAGGAGTCTAGAACCATTGAGAAAAACCGAAGCTGGAGTTTTAAAAGAGGAAAGATACCTGAAGACCATGGGAAAGAACAATGGTTTTAGGTTTGGGGGTTTCTGTGAATAATACCCAATGTCTTTCTCACCAGAGGAGGAAAAGCTTTGGTGGGAAATGATGAGACCACAACCCACTGGTGAAAGAGTTCTAGGTTCATAGTAGACACTAAGAAAATGGAGTCGCCTGCTTGGAAATCGCCATATGCCCTGGAGAAGCCCAAAAGGGTTCAGGAAACGGGCACGTCAATGAGTGGCTGGCATGATAGACGTCCTTCCACCTTTCTCAGGTAAGCAGTAGGTGCTTCTGTTATCACAGGGACAGGGAGAAGCAGAAAGGAGAAAGGAGACTGATTTAGTTCTATACTCTCTCAAGCAAGGGTTGATCTAGATTGATTTTAAAAATTAAGAAATTCGGTGTTTTCTATACCGCCTCTTACGTAGGAAACTTACTTCTGCCACTCAAATAAATATAATAAGACATATGTGCCATCAAAGAAACATATGTGGAGACAAAAAGGAAGAAATGGTAGATCTTTCTAGGGAAATAGGAAGGGGAGGTGAAAGAAAAAAAATAAAGGCTTTATAGCTCACACACTTCCTAAGTTGTTCTAGTCCCATAATATTCGTGTCCAATGTCTGTGTCACATGCTCAGAAGTATGTTGACAGGGTTGTGCCGGCTGACTGATATAAAAAGATCATTCTAGGTGAGGACAGGGTGACTTATAATGCATTAAAGTGATGCCTTCTAAAAAGACTATTTCTATTTATGAATAGATTGATTTATTTTATGAATAAATTTTTAATGCCTTAACCTAAACAAAGAAGTAACATTGTCAATATATTAGGCCTAATCAAAGAAGCAGTCCAAGACATCTGTTGTTCCTATAATGGCACCAAGTAAGCCATTACCTTCTCCGCTTTTATATCTGATGATAGGTAGGTAGGTAGGTAGGTAGATAGATATTAAACTGATAAGAACAGATACTACACTTGTTCTTAGCCAAAAGGTTGAGAAGTGATGTGATGTTAGATAAATAGATAAATGATGATTGATACACAGATAGATAGATAGATAGATAGATAGATAGATAGATAGATAGAGAGATAGTAGATTTATATGTTAAACTGAAATTGAAGGGAAAAAATGCACTGTTCATTATATGTATATGTGTAATTGTATGGGTGTATATGTTTGTTTTGAAGATTAGAAACAAAGAAAATCACACAACTGTTAATAGTGGTTCATTTCAAGAATGGGAAATCCATCTGGTGTTTCTTTTTCTTTTTATATTTTTTATTATATTTTGTTATTATTTGGCATATTTCAGTATTATTTTCTTATAAGCTTTAATTATTTCCTTTTTGGTATTTATTTTTCCACCAGCATGTTCACAATAGACATCTATTACCTGATGATTACACAAAAATAAAAGTTGTATTTTTTATCTCTAATTTTGAGAGCAGACCACAGGGAAGGAAAACTTGTAGTTGGAGAGTCTATGCACAGTAGAGATTCTAGAAATACTACTTCTTGCAGAATGAACACGTAAGACAAACTATGGAACTCAGAAATCTCAGCATCTATAAAGCCCATGTCAGTTGTAAAGACCCATTAAAATGGAAGATTATTCTTATAATCTGAGATGCAGGGCTAATTAAGAGTCCAGGTTCATCCTCACCTCATGGCGTTCTGCATCTTACCTTCACCTGGGGATTCTCACGGGGCTGCCACTTCAGGTCACAGAGACGAAACAGAAGTAAAAACTGGGTCACTTCAGCCCAGTTTTTAACTTCCCTGGCTGCCTATGCTAAGGCAATCCTGCTGTCCTTACCAGATAATGCTGACCACATTCCTTTGGATTATTGTGTTCACGATGAATATCACAGTCTTATATCAGCTTATTTATTTACTCTTCTGTGTATTGTTGAACACTGTCCACTGAATGATAAGTGGCTGAGGACTGAGGTTGTGTCTGACTTGTGCAATGCCCCTCGCCAGAGCCGGGTACACCTCTGTATAGGCAGCATTTAAGGTATTTTTTAAATTAATGATTGAAGTTGATTTTTAAAAACTAGCTTAAGCATTTGTCAGGTACCAAAACATTTGAATATTTAGAAACCATTTGTTCCATGAAGCCAGTGGATTCACTGATAATTCAACTCTCTGTTTCTGTAACTGAATACCTGGTACTCTGCTAACTCAGAGTGCAAACACAGCCAATTCTCTTTTCTTTTCCTAATTAATCTAACTGTCTTATAAGAGGACATGTCAGTATCCTACTTGCTTGTTGCTGAAATAAATGAAAAATGACCTGATGAACCAAAAGGATTTGCTTCTCTGCCATTTTCTTGATTACCTCATTTTAGCAAGACTTGCTGTTTTTGCCTTTTATTCTTTCACTTAGAGGTGCCTGAATAACTTTCTAATCTTAGAAAGTTTTGAGAATATTAAAACGTTGCAAATTCCATTTGCAACATATCTTGCAAACAATATCTTCGGTGCAATATTTTATCTTTTCAAATGCTTTAAGTATATTTTGTATAAACCTTGGCACTGATGATTTGGCTCAGTCACTTCATGGGCATAAATTAATATATCCTAACTATATTGGATAAACTAACATATAACCTTGTTGGCTAAGCCAGCCCTCATTTTCAAACCAATCCACAAACCAACTATAATTTTTAACTCAAAAATATGTTAATATGTATTCAGAGGAATATTGTAAAAACTGAGTAAATTGCAGATCACATTATGAAAGATAGATTAGTCTGAGGCATACTTTATGATAAAGAAAGATATATACTACTAAAAACTGATAGGTCTGGCACCTGGCACATAAATTTACCTCTTGTCAATAGCAGGTAGAAAATTTAAACCAAATTAGGATTACCTGCAATTGGAAGAAAATGTTGTAATTTGATTTCAAAAATAAGCTTCAGAGCTTTTACATTACACCAACATGAAAACATATGTAATTTTTTAAATTGGTTGATTTAATTGAATATCACCTACCTTTTTTTTTTGATAATTCTAGAACACTTTCCAAATTCCTTAAAAGAACCTCTAATTCTTTGGCTGTTTGAAAATATTTTTCTTTTTAGCACAATGGAGGTCATAAAAATAAGTATTAACCAGAGCTGGGAAAAAAATGGGGAAAAAGCCAGTTTTCATATTCAGTGTTTCTTACTGAGTCTTTTTCTTCACTCTTACAGGACTCTGCCTGATGTAGTTTAGATATTTGTCCAAATCTCATGTTGAATTGTATCTTCAATGCTGGGGGTGGGGCCTGGTGGGAGGTATTTAGATCATGGGAGTGAATACTTCACAGCTTGGTACCGTCCTTGTGATAGTGAATTCTCATGAGATCTGGTCATTTAAAAGTTGGGTGGCGGGGGGGGCACATCTCTCCCACTCTCTCTTGCTTGCTCCTGCTTTTGCCATGTGAAGTGCCTACTCCTGCTTCAGCTCTGCATGACTGAAAGCTCTCTGAGGCTTCACTGGAAGCCAAGCAGATACCAGCATCATGCTTCCTGTAAAACCAGCAGAACCATGAGCCAATTAAATGTCTTTTCTTTATAAATTACCCACTCTCAAGAATTTCTTTATGGGAATACAAGAAAGGCCTAATACACTACCTTAACAGAAATGCATTACTTGACAATAGGTGATGGGTGAAAGAGGATACATGACTAAGTGAATATTGTCATTAGTCCACTCTCTTACTCTACCATAGATATGAAATCAGAAATCCCAATACAGCACCCAAATACTCTCTTTCTGACAAGTACATCAACCTTAACACATTTTTAATGCATGAAAGACTAAAAGCCCTGAGGATATATGGCAACTTACTTATGAAAGAAACCTTCCCCTTAGATGTCTGGGAGGATGTGCACTTTTGTAAGATTTGAGATGGATGAAGAAACATCTTTCTTTTTTAAAGTAGAAAAAGCTCTGTTTTAAATGCAAGCAAGTTATCAGGGAGATAAATTTCAGGTAAATACGAAATATGAAAATTAAGGTTCTGGACCTGATTTTTTAAAAAGTATGTCCACAAGTAACTCTGACCAAGTCTAAAGACTGCTGTTGTAAAGCACCCATCACTGGACAGCCTCACGTCTGACTCTTCCCCATCCCTCTCTGGAATAATACCTCCTTTAAACTCCTAAAACCCAAGAATTAATGACACCCCCTGTCCCTCAGCAATGAAGCTTCTCACTAAACCTCCCAAAGAACGTTATCATCAGTGACTCCAGGAGGTCCTTCTCCCACCTTGTTGAGATGTAGCTTCCCTCAACAAGATGGGAGAAGGACCTCCTGTTATTCAAAGGCAACATGACTATTCTAAGGGAGGCAACACAAATGATTCCAAGGGTATTGCTTAGAGATATCAGTTTGAAATGAAAACGATTCCCTTGTAAGAACATATTGGGTATTCCAGCTCCATTGTTAATGAACACAAGAGCTTTAGTTGCTACCTACCACTGCTGTTGCTATTTGTTAACTCATTAATTAATGCAAAAACGGATTAGCGCAGTAGAAGAGTCAGTAAAGTCTTCAGAATTGAAAAAAACTGGGCTCCCATCTCTGCTTTGATCCTTGCCAGATACGTGATGTTGGGCAAGCAACTCCTGAGTTTCAGTTTTTTTAACTATTAAATGAAGATTAAACTACCAACTTCATAGGATTTTGAGGATTAATTGAATTGACATCTGTAAAGTCCATAGTATAGCCGCATGCCTGACATAGCAGCCAATTAATATAATGTTAGTTCCATTTTCTTATTCATCATTTGCAATGTGCAAAATTATCAACGAAGAAAGGAGATATAAATGCTCTTAGCACAAAATATTGAGAGGCAGTCAGATGTAGGAACAAAAAATTAAAAAAGGGTTGATTAGAGGCTATAAAAGAAGCATGTACAAAGAACTATGGAAGCACAGAGCCAGAAGCCAGGAAGGCAGACCTTCATGTGGGTAGTTCCATATGGTATAATTCAACTCAGTATAACAAATTGCCCTTGAGATCCTGCTCTCAGCTCAGCACTATTGTGTCCAATGGGCCATTCAGAGTATCAACTATAAACTCTGTTCTTTGGTAGTTTATAACTTAGTTCAGAAGACAAGACTTACAGAAAACATAATGTTTTACAAATATTTTTGAATGCCTATATGTGCCAAGAACTATACAATATATAGGGTATACCGGTCCCTTTTAAAGCAAAATTCTATTCGTAGAGATTAATAAGTAAGAAGTTAATCAATTAAATAATTAATGTCACCAATTTATGAGGTGCCAAGAAGTAATAGAGAGGATGCGTGCTGTGGAAGGTCCCGTAGGGACATGGCATGTCAGGCTGCCTTCAAACTCACTCTGAAGACCCAGGCCACCCTTTCTGAACGTGTAGAGTTCAGAGGCAGAACCTGCAACTTGAGTTTTCCGTGCAAAAGAGATCCTTTTGGTTTTCATACATCATATAATTTAACATCCCTTCTCTGCATTTTCTGGAGACCACAAGTAATGAAATGATCACCAGGGTTATGTATTCCATTTGTGATCTATGAATCATTAATTCTTATCAGATTATATATATATATATATATATACACACACACATGTGTGTGTGTGATCATTATTCTAGCTATTCTAGACTCTGCTCTTAGATGCTCAATGCTTCACCATTTGACTCAAGAAACCTGACTTTGTAGAACATACAGTCACAAGAATTGATTAGGCTTAAGACACACTTTAAACACCAAACCAAAGGAGAGTTCATAACCAGAAATATCATGTTGCTATTAAATATGATTCAAGATAATGGAGCTGACATAAGACTATGGATCTTGATGTAATGCCTTTAATTTTCCTAAACAGAACACATTTTTTACAGTAACATGACAGAGCAAAGTGCATTATGCCCAGCCATCAGAATTCCAAGAAACTGTCAACCTCAAAAGAAATCTTCCCGTAGAGCATAGGGCTAAGAAATATTCTCTAATTTCAATGGCATTATTTACTTTTGATTTCAGGATTCTTGGAAATAGTATTTTCTTACATGTCTGGTAATAGAATTTAGAAGGCAAAAATCAGCTTTTTCTTTCTGATCCCCCAAACTGACCACAACTCACATAGCCTTATTTTTACCTCATTCCCAGATTCTCTACATCCAGGAGAAGACATATGGCAGAGAAGAGAAAGGGAAGACACTGGAAACAAGGGGTCCTATGCACACATCAAGACTTCACTACTTATATGTGTATGACCTTATGAATTATTAACCTCTCTTACCTTCAACTTCTTGACCAATGAAATAGGAAAGACAGTATAGTCCATGCAGAATTATTGTGAGAATATAATTAAGGAGATAATAATCATAAAACATCCGGAAATCAATAAATATATATATATAATCACTGTAACAGGAAAAATGAAACCATCTTTTACTTGAAGGCAAAGGCTCTGAGTTTTGGGGGAAAAATAGTCACCAATGTTTCTCAAATTTAAAGGCAACAGTTTGGCATTCTCAAATACAAAATAGTTCAGTTAAAAGTGGTTGAGAGTCCCTCTTTTAAAAAAAATTCACAAACAAGCTGGGAGCAGTGGCTCATGCCTGTAATCCCAGTATTTTTGGAGGTCGAGGTGGGTGGATCACTTGAGGTCAGGAGTTTGAGACCAGCCTGGCCAACGTGGTGAAACCTTGTCTCTACTAAAAATACAAAAGTTAGCCGGGCATGGTGGTGCACACCTGTAATCCCAGCTACTTAGGTGGTTGAGGTAGGAGACTTGCTTGAATCTGGGAGGCAGAGTTTGCAGTAAGCCAAGATCGCGCCACTGCAGTCCAGCCTGGGCAACAGGGCCTGAGTGAGACTCCATCTCAAAAAAATAAAAAATAAATAAAAATAAAAATTACAAACAGATGCACAAATGCAATCAATCAAAAGATGATTTGAGAAACTGTTCTAAGGGTAAGTTCCACAGTCAATAAAGAAGACCATGGTAGTCACTTCCAAGATGGCTGAATAGGAACAGCTCCGGTCTGCAGCTCCCAGTGAGATTGATGCAGAAGGTGGGTGATTTCTGCATTTCCAGCTGAGGTACTGGGTTCATCTCATTGGGACTGGTTGGACAGTGGATGCAGCCCATGGAGGGTAAGCCAAAGCAGGGAGGGGCGTCGCCTCACCCAGGAAGCTCAAGGGGTTGGGGGATTTTCCTTTCCTAGCCAAGGGAAGCCATGACAGACTGTATCTGCAGAAACAGTTCACTCCTGACCAAATACTGCGCTATTCCCACGGTATTAGCAACCGGCCGACCAGGAGATACCCTCCCGTGCCTGGCTCAGCCAGTCCCACGACCATGGAGCCTTGCTCACTGCTAGCGCAGCAGTCTGAGATCGACCTGCGATGCTGCAGCTGGATGGCGGGGGTTGTCCACCATTGCTGAGGCTTGAGTAGCTCAACAGTATAAACAAAGAGGCTGGGAAGCAGGAACTGGGCAGAGCCCACTGCAGCTCAGCAAAGCCTAATGCCTCTATAGATTCCACCTCTGGGGGCAGGGCATAGTAGAACAAAAGGCAGCAGACAGCTTCTGCAGACTTAAATGTCCCTGTCTGACAGCTCTGAAGAGAGCAATGGTTCTTTCAGCATGGCGTTTGAGTTCCGAGAAAGGACAGACTGCCTCCTCAAGCAGGTCCCTGACCCCCGTGTAGCTTCACTGGGAAACACCTCCCAGTAGGTGCCAACAGACACTCAAACAGGCAGATGCCCTTCTGGTACGAAGTTTCCAGAGGAAGGATCAGGCTGTTCTGCAGCCTGATTTGCTGTTCTGCAGCCTCCCCTGGTGATACCCAGGCAAACAGGGTCAGGAGTGGACCTCCAGCAAACCCCAACAGACCTGTAGCTAAGGGATCTGACTGTTAGAAGGAAAACTAACAAACAGAAAGGAATAGCATCAACATCAACAAGAAGGACATCCACACCAAAACCCCATCTGTAGGTCACCAACATCGAAGACCAAAGGTAGATAAAACCACAAAGATGGGGAGAAACCAGAGCAGAAAAGCTGAAAATTCCCAAAAACAGAGCACCTCTTCTCCTCTAAAGGATCACAGCTCCTCGCCAACAAGGGAACAAGACTAGATGGAGAATGAGTTTCACGAGTTGACAGAAGTAGGCTTCAGAAGGTCGGTAATAACAAAGTTCTCCAAGCTAAAGGAGCATGTTCTAATCCATCACAAGGAAGCTAAAAACCTTGAAAAACTGTTAGATGAATGGCTAACTAGAATAAATAGTGTAGAGAAGACCTTAGATGACCTAATGGAGCTGAAAACCAAGGCATGAGAACTTCATGACAAATGTACAACCTTCAATAGCTGATTCAATCAAGTGGAAGAAAGGATATCAGTGATTGAAGACCAAATTAATGAAATAAAGTGAGAAGACAAGATTAGAGAAAAAAGGGTGAAAAGAAATGAACAAAGCCTCCAAGAAATATGGGACTATTTGAAAAGACCAAATATAAGTTTGATTGGTGTACTGGAAAGCGACACGGAGAATGGAACCAAGTTAGACAACACTCTTCAGGATATTATCCAGGAGAACTTCCCTAACCTAGCAAGGCAGGCCAACATTCAAATTCACGAAATACAGAGAATGCCACAAAGACACTCCTTGAGAAGAGCAACCTCAAGACACATAATTGTCAGATTCACCAAGGTTAAAATGAAGGAAAAAATGTTAAGGGCAGCCAGAGAGAAAGGTCAGGTTATCCACAAAGGGAAGCCCATCAGACTAACAGTGGATCTCTCAGCAGAAACCCTACAAGCCAGAAGAGAGTGGGGGCCGATATTCAACATTCTTAAAGAAAAGAATTTTCAACCCAGAATCTCATATCCAGCCAAACTAAGCTTCATAAATGAAGGAGAAATAAAATCCTTTACAGATAAGCAAATGCTCAGAGATTTTGTCACCACCAGACCTGCCTTGCAAGAGCTCCTGAAGGAATCACTAAACATGGAAAGGAACAACTGGTACCAGACACTGCAAAAACATGCCAAATGGTAAAGACCATTGACTCTATGAAGAAACTGCATCAATTAACGGGCAAAATAACCAGCTAATATCATAATGACAGGATCAAATATAACAATATTAACCTTAAATGTAAATGGGCTAAATGCCCCAGTTAAAAGACACAGAATGGCAAATTGGATAGAGACTCAAGACCCATCAGTATGCTGTATTCAGGAGGCCCATCTCATGTCCACAGATGCACATAGTTTCAAAATAAAGGGATGGTGGAAGATCTACCAAGAAAATGGAAAGCAAAAAGAAAAAAAGCAGGGGTTGGAATCCTACTCACTGATAAAATAGACTTCAAAACAACAAAGATCAAAAGAGACAAAGAAGACCACTATATAATGGTAAAGGGATCGATTCAACAAGAGCTAACTATCCTAAATATATATGCACCCAATACAGGAGCACCCAGATTCATAAAGCAAGTCCTTAGAGACCTACAAAGAGACTTAGACTCCCATATAATAATAATGGGAGACTTTAATACCCCACTGTCAACATTAGACAGATCAACGAGACAGAAGGCTAACAAGGATATCCAGGACTCGAACTCAGCTCTGCACCAAGTGGACCTAATAGACATCTACAGAAATCTACACCCCAAATCAATAGAATATACACTCTTCTCACACCACATCGCACTTATTCTAAAATTGACCACATGATTGGTAGTAAAACACTCCTCAGCAAATGTAAAAGAACAGAAATCACAACAAACTATCTCTCAGACCACAGTGCAATCAAATTAGAACTCAGGATTAAGAAACTCACTCAAAACCACACAACTACATGGAAACTGAACAACCTACTCCTGAGTGACTACTGGGTAAATAAGGAAAAGAAGGCAGAAATAAAGATGTTCTTTGAAACCAATGAGAACAGAGACACAATGTGCCAGAATCTCTGGGACACATTCAAAGCAGTGTGTAGAGGGAAATTTATAGGACTGAATGCCCACAAGAGAAAGCAGGAAAGATCTAAAATTGACACCCTAACATCACAATTAAAAGAACTAGAAAAGGAAGAGCAAACAAATTCGAAAGCTAGCAGAAGGCAAGAAATAACTAAGAGCAGAACTGAAGGAGATAGAGACACAAAAATCCCTTCAAAAAATCAATGAATCCAGGAGCTGGTTTTTTGAAAAGATCAACAAAATAGACAGACCGCTAGCAAGACTAACAAAGAAGAAAAGAGAGAAGATTCAAATAAACACAATAAAAAATGATAAAGGGGATATCACCACCGATCCCACAGAAATACAAACTACCATCAGAGAATACTATAAAGACCTCTACACAAATAAACTAGAAAATCTAGAAGAAATGGATAAATTCCTGGACACATACACCCTCCCAAGACTAAACCAGGAAGAAGTTGAATCTCTGAATAGACCAATAACAGGTTCTGAAATTCAGGCAACAATTAATAGTCTACCAACTAAAAAAAGTCCAGGACCAGATGGATTCACAGCTGAATTCCACCAGAGGTACAAACAGGAGCTGGTACCATTTCTTCTGAAACTATTTCAATCAATAGAAGAAGAGGGATTCCTCCCTAACTCATTTTATGAGGCTAGCATCATCCTGATAACAAAGCTTGGTAGAAACACAACAAAAAAAGAGAATTTTAGGCCAATATCCCCGATGAACATCGATGCAAAAATCCACAGTAAAATACTGGCAAACCAAATCCAGCAGCACATCAAAAAACTTATCCACCATGATCAAGTGGGCTTCATCCCTGGGATGCAAGCCTGGTTCAACATACACAAATCAATAAACGTAATCCAGCATATAAACAGAACCAATTGATTATCTCAATAGACGCTGAAAAGGCCTTCAACAAAATTCAACAGCGCTTCATGCTAAAAACTCTCAATAAACTAGGTATTGACGGAACATATCTCCAAATAATAAGAGCTATTTATGACAAACCCTCAGCCAATATCATACTGAACAGGCAAAAACTGGAAGCATTCTCTTTGAAAACCGGCACAAGACAGGGATGCCCTCTCTCACCACTCCTATTCAACATAGTGTTGGAAGTTCTGGCCAGGGCAATCAGGCAGGAGAAGGAAATAAAGGGTATTCAATTAGGAAAAGAGGAAGTCAAATTGTCCCTATTTGCAGATGACATGATTGTTTATTTGGAAAACGCCATCATCTCAGCCCAAAATCTCCTTAAGCTGATAAGCAACTTCAGCAAAGTCTCAGGATACAAAATCAATGTGCAAAAATCACAAGCATTCCTATACACCAATAATAGACAAACAGAGAGCCAAATCATGAGTGAACTCCCTTTCACAATTACTACAAAGAGAATAAAATACCTAGGAATCCAGCTTATAAGGGATGTGAAGGATCTCTTCAAGGAGAACTATAAACCACTGCTCAATGAAATAAAAGAGGACACAAACAAATGGAAGAACATTCCATGCTCATGAATAGGAAGAATTAATATCGTGAAAATGGCCATACTGCCCAAGGTAATTTAGAGATTCAATGCTATCCCCATTAAGCTACGAAAGACTTTCTTCACAGAATTGGAAAAAACTACTTTAAAGTTCATATGGAACCAAGAAAGAGCCCGAATAACCAAGACAATCCTAAGCAAAAAGAACAAAGCTGGAGGCATCATGCTAACTGACTTCAAACTATACTACAAGGCTATAGTAACCAAAACAGCATGGTACTGGTACCAAAACAGAGGTATAGACCAATGAAACAGAACAGAGGCCTCAGAAATAACACCACACACCTACAACCATCTGATCTTTGACAAACCTGACAAAAACAAGCAATGGGGAGAGGATTCCCTATTTAATAAATGGTGCTGGGAAAACTGGCTAGCCATATGCAGAAAGCTGAAACTGGATCCCTTCCTTACCTCATATACAAAAATTAACTCAAGATGGATTCAAGACTTAAATGTAAGACCTAACACCATAAAAACCCTAGAAAAAAACCTAGGCAATACCATTCAGGACATAGGCATGGGCAAAGACCTCATGACTAAAACACCAAAAGCAATGGCAAGAAAAGCCAAAATATACAAATGGGATTTAATTAAACTAAAGATCTTCTGTAGAGTAAAAGGAACTATCATCAGAGTGCACAGGCAACCTACAGAATGGGAGAAATTTTTTGCAATCTACCCATCTGACAAAGGGCTAATATCCAGAATCTACAAATAACAAATTTATTAAGATGGTATGGCAATTCCTCAAGGATCTAGAACTAGAAATACCATTTGCCCCAGCAATCCCATTACTGGGCATATACCCAAAGGACTATAAATTATTCTACAATAAAGACACATGCACACGTATGTTTATTGCAGCACTATTCACAATAGCAAAGAGTTGGAACCAGCCCATATATCCATCAATGATAGACTGGATCGAGAAAATGTGGCACATATACACCATGGAATACTATGCAGCCATAAAAAAAGGATGAGTTCATGTCCTTTGCAGGGACATGGATGAAGCTGGAAACCATCAGTCTAAGCAAACTATCACAAGGACACAAAACCAAAAACTGCAGCCCAAAATCTCCTTAAGCTGAAAAGCAACTTCAGCAAAGTCTCAGGATACAAAATCAATGTGCAAAAATCACAAGCATTCCTATACACCAATGATAGAAAAACAGAGAGCCAAATCATGAGTTAACTCCCATTCACAATTACTACAAAGAGAATAAAATACTCATAAGTGGGAGTTGAACAATGAGAACACATGGACACAGGGTGGGGAACATCACACACTGGGGTCTGTCGGGGGTCGTGGGGTATGGGGAGGGAGAGTATTAGGACAAATACCTAATGCATGTGGGGCTTAAAACCTAGATGATGGATTAATAGGTGCTGCAAACCACCATGGCACATGTATACCTATATAACAAACCTGCACGTTCTGCACATGTATCCAGAACTTGAAGTAAATTAAAAAATAAATAAGTAAATAAATAAGAAAAGTATCTCCATCTTTAGGGCTTAGACAAAGATTAACGTCTCCTTTGGGAAATGAGTATTTACGTGCATAAAGAGTATATATACACATCTGATAGAAAAGTTGCATTTCAAAGTTGAAGTCATCAAGAGAGTTTCTACATCTTACTTTCATGAGAATGCATCACAGCACTTGAAGTATTACCTCCACCCCATCTGCACTTGAAGACCTCAGCTTCATCTCTACTCCTCTCCCTCTACTCCACAGGACCTGGAGTTCCAAAGGCCATCACGGAGTCTCCTGTCTCCTTTTACCAATCTATACTTTCATCCAACCTGTGGATGAAGGATTATGAAGGGCTATGAAGTAGGAATGACTTAAACTTACAGATGTGTACTGAGAGGAAGTCCTGGGGAAGTTAGAGTGAGAAAAGATGTAAGGGTATTATAAATCATGCTGCTATAAAGACACATGCACGCTGTTCATTGTGTCACTATTCACAATAGCAAAGACGGAACCAATCCAAATGTCCATCAATGATGGACTGGATTAAGAAAATGTGGCACCTGTACACCATGGAATACTATGCAGCCATGAAAAAGGATGAGTTCATGTCCTTTGTAGGGACATGGATGAAGCTGGAAACCATCATTCTCAGCAAACTATCACAAGGACAAAAAACCAAACACCGCATGTTCTCACTCATAGGTGGGAATTGAACGATGAGAACACATGGACACAGGAAGGGGAACATCACACACCGGGGCCTGTTGTGGGGTGGGGGGAGGGGGGAGGGATAGCAATAGGAGATATACCTAATGTAAATGACGAGTTAATGGGTGCAGCACAACAACATGGCACATGTATACATATGTAACAAACCTGCACATTATGCACATGTACCCTAGAACTTAAAGTATAATTAAAAAAAAAAAAAAGAAAGAAAAGACCTAAGGGTAAGGAAGGGAAGGTGTAAACTGTGGATTAATGGAGGGTCAGAAGACAAAGGTTATGAAAAAAAAATTGCTCTTGCCAAAAACCACAACCTGAGGACAGGGAGTTAAACAGTCATTTGTCCAAGGCATGTATATTATCTGAAGTAATTATAAAGCACATTAACATCTTCAACCCAGAATATAAACTATATTTTCAGTTTTCAAGCAGAGAACAGAAAACAGAAAGGTTTTGCAAAGAAAAAAGGGAAAAGATCATAATCATTGACCAGAGAGAAAAGTCCATAGGTAGCTTTCCCAGTTAGGATATTTAGAGTGATGGCGGGGGTGAGATTGTTACTAAAAGTGGGGACTAGACCATTTTAGCAGGAGGTTAAGAGTACAAAACTTTGGTCAAACCCATATTTGCAGGATTTTCCTAAAATCTGGTTTGGCAGCAAAAAGCCAGAAATCTGGTTTGGCTCCAAGCAAATCCCAAAATGTGAATAGTTAAATTAGGAGGTGTAAGTCATCCTTTCAGATAAAGTCTATTTTTTTCCAGAAACATTCATATAGAGCTATTGCATGCAATTGCATAGACTGCACGTTGCAGGCCATGTCCCAGTCTATGTAAATGGTGCCCTGGGGATTGAAAGTGAACAACCCTTACATAGCATGCAGCTGTTCTGCACTTAACAATAGACGTAACTCTAAATCTGGGGTCTTCTTTTCTTTGTATAGCAAAAGATTTGTGTCTGAACTGTCTTTAAACAACCAGTTCTCCAGTGGAACTATTCTAATAGTAACATGTCTAGTTCAGTTGAAGCAGGTCTGTCCTGAGATTCATCTTTATGGCCTCACCTAGACTGTATACCGCTTGAGATTCTTGACCTCTGCATTGATTTTACCTCATGTAGGATAAGTTTTAGAAAGGATTTGTTATCAGCCTAGTAAACACAGCCTATTTTTATAGCCCATGTTTCTTATAGACAAATTCTAGATGTGATTCATGGATTCATATTCTACATTGCCTTGTATATAATAAGTACTCAAGGGTTATTAATGGAATGAGTAATAAGAGGAACTAAATCTACTGGGTTTTGTTTTGTATTGTTTTGTTTTGTTTTGTTTTGCTTGTATCTCCCCATAGCAACTGTGAAGGGGTAACACTCAAAGGCAACATATGAGCATCAACAAACGATTCTCCTAAATGATAGTTTTTTCTTTCAGAAACATTGCTTAAAACAGCTGAAGAACTAAATGAGGTTTCTGAAACGAAACTACAAAGAAAGTCTGGCAGAAATAGTTTCTTCTTTCCTAATCATCCAGGATGGTCCCATGGGGTGGTGCTGCCCTTCGGGCCAGGCAATGCTCCAGGCAATGCTCCAGGCGATGCATTCAGGCCAGGTGATGCATTGGAGAAGCTGGTGATTGTGTTGTGGGAAAGGGGAGGCAGAAAGAGACAGCCTGTGGGGTGTCTTAGCCTGATTGCTGAGAGAGGCCTCGGGGGTGGGACCTAATTCTGGAGCACTGCTCTGTCTCACCTACCTCCTCCCAAAGTCGTGATAGTTGTCTGTTATTTAAACTCTTGAAATGAGAGACGAAAGTATCTAAAATGAGCATGATAAAATGGAGCATTATTGAATTAGAAAACGAAGTCTGATTTTGAGAGGCAGAATATAATTACAGGGTTGGAGCGTTTCCAGGAGATTGTGGATGGCGCCCCAGCTGAGTGTTGAAGAAATTCTTCCAGACTGAGCCTAGACAGATGATGTTTGTCATCCTCCTCCTCACAAGTGCTGTGGACTCCAGTCTTAAAATGATGCAGCACCTCACAGTGTCCACTGATGTCCAAATGCCAATGGTCTCAGCTTCACACCTCTCTAAAGCTGTATCCTCCAAACAGTGGAGAAAGCTGAACTCACAACTTTTTTTGATCTGCTGTGTGTAGAAATCAGATTGAGTGAATAAACATGAAAACATTGGAATCTGTAAAAAGCAATATAAGATTTAGATATTGTTACTGATATTGAAAAGGTTGCTGTATTATAATTCCTAATACCTTGGTCAAATATATTCAAAACCCTCATTAAAAGCATAAAAGCAGGTCTATTTATACTGCTCGTAATTATAACATAGCAATTACTCTTTTTCACGGATAACCTATGTGAATAGAAAATATTTTCCATTATTTTCAATAGGATCTTATACACTTAATTCATTGTAAAAGTTTATGTTTAGATTCTAAATACTTTAAGTCTAAATATTATTTATTTGGGGGAAAAAAACAGTTTCCACAAGATTCGATAGATTTGCAAGCAGTCAGACATGAAGGAAGGTAAACTTAGGCTTCACTGAGGAGCAAGAAAGGGAACAAGGGTTCACAGGCTGGCCTGCAACCCTGTTGGAGCTCCAGAGGCTGTCCTGTCTGGAACACTCAACTGTGTCCTCAGAATCCCACTGTGCTCCTTACAGGATGGGTTTTCCCCAGTCTTTCCTGCTCATCAGCTCTTCTCACCCTTTCTGGGGCTAGACCTTGGCTTCTGACTTCTTGTGATCACTTAGCATTTTGAATATTGGCTCCCTTCTGTTCACCTTAACAATCACTTTTTGAAAGCCTACATCAGGATTTTCCAACTTTAGTTCAATTACCTGGAGAGCTTGTTAAACCAGACTGCTGGGCCTCAGGGTTTCTCTTTCAGCAGGTCTGAGGAGGAGTGGGAGAGAGTCAAAAATGTGTGTTTTCTAGCAAACTCCCTGGCAATGCTGATGTTGCTGGTCCAGCCTCACCTTTTGAGAAGCACTGGCCCCCACCACACTTAGTGTTACCCTTAGGTTCACACGAGTTCTAACAATCCTGTAACATTAGATATTTTTATTCTCATTTTATTAATGAGGAAACCAAGACTCAGAAAAGTTTAATAGCTTGCCTGAGGGCACACAATGAATGAAAATAAACTAGGATGCTCACCTAGGACTCTCCTATACCAAAACCTATGATCTTTGAAATACATATTTTGTTCTCATTGTATTCTCAAAATTAAGCCAGAAACACCGCCCGCCCCAACTAATGTCCTTAGAAACATTTATAAGGGAGGAATTCTTACTGTTTTATCTCACAACCTTCTTAACCCAAGAATCTGCCTCAGGTCATGGGTGAGAAAGCTGCCAGCTGCTGGCACTGATGCCCCCTCATCAGATTATCTGTGTGACAAGCAATTAAGTAGAGCGTCATCAATCCCTCTCAGCACCTGCAACTCATTGTGGAACCAAACAGCTCAAGTCCAAGAGTTCCATTCAGAAGAATGGTATAAACAGATGATGCCTGATTTGTCAGGGATCCCCCAAGGCCAATATTCAACTTCCATTAAGAAAAAAGGAGATTTATGCAAAAGTTGTCTAATGCTCTCCATATGGTAGGCCATAGATAAGAAACTTAGCTACATTCAGTAAGAAAGTAGTCTTTGCCTTACCAGCCTATAGGCTTTTGAGAACATCAACCATTTTTTTGCATGTGGAAGAAGGCTCATAAAAGTTGTATTGCAATGGCTTGAGTCAAAAATCTACCTCAATATTCTAGGAAATGATTTAAATAATTCATAACCAAAGACAGTCTTTATAAGCTGTGGCTATATATACTGCATTAATCTGGCTGACCATTTAAGTGATGGCTGTTTTTAGCAATGTTGGTATCTCCTGCCATTCCAAGCTGGCTTCTAACAACTGCAGGTTTCATTCTGCCCCAGTTAGAGCAAGTAAACCACAAAGCAGGTAGTACGTAAGAAACTCTAGACCCTTGTGCTAGGGTTCAGCAACAGATTGTGATTGGTGGAATCTATCCAGTGAAATAAACATCCAATCAGTATCTGTCCATGAGGCAGAATGGTGTTCAGCGTCAAAGTCATGCTCTTCAACAGTATAGAGAGTGTTTAGGTTGGGTGGTGAGTTCAGCATGCTTGTACTACTTGTATCAAAATTGTACCGAAGAATTAATTCATAAGCTTATCAATACAAGAAGGGAAACACATACAGGCAGAAAGTTACACAACTACAACAGATACCTCAGGACACAAGGAGGAACTATTTTTACTCCTACATGTAGATAGCTCTCATCCTGCCCACGCCAGCCACCCACCCTCAAGGAAGTCTGACCAGAGGCGCTCAAGTGATTCCCTTTGCATTTGGCTGAGAGAAGATTGCACTCCCCCACTTATACCTAGAGAAGCTGGGAAATGGAAAGGACCCTAGTTACTCTTAAAGAAACACACACTTAATGGAGAAACCCCAGCCTGTCAGTTCATCAGCACCTGCCTAATGGGGAAGAAAATCTTCCTAAACATAACACTTGCTTTCACATATGACAATTTCCAGATGATACAGGGGGACTCATACCTACTGAAGGGCTGCTAAGTCTAGAGACATTAGACTAGTGAGTAGGCAAAGAAAGATTATAAAAATTCCAAGGAGATGCCATCTTGAAGAATGGAAGCCAATACAAGCCATCAGAAAAAATGTAGCAGACCAAGCCAATGTGTCCTGCTGAGCTCAAACTGCAGCAACCTCTCTATACCCCTTTCTGTGGGTGGCTTATGTAGCTCAGATCAGCCAAGTTAAGTAGAATATTGCCTAGTTCCTTCTCTTCAGGGAAGGGCAGTGCTAGAATACCACTTGGAAGTCTCAAGGAAATCACACCTAGGTAGGCAATCATATTTAAATCTAGACTCCAGATAAAATTCTATGCCAGAGGAGAGCATAGAGAAATTTAAAATGACCAGGTACTCTTAGGAATGAGGGAAATTATTCTCATTTTTCAGAAATTAAAGCAAAATCAGATACTCTGTTTTGAGTTTCCAAAAGTATTAATCGAAGCTGCCAGGCTTATGAAAGAAGACTGAGGAAAGGGAAGGTGTTCAGAAATCCAGATCTTGAGAATATAACCTGGAGTATCAATGCAGAAGCTAAGACTGACCCAGGTGCAAATGCAAAAACCATCTGCTTCACTGATGCCAGTTCTCCCTTTCATGGTTGCCCCTAGAGGTAATGCTCTGAATATGTTATTTTCATTGAATCAGTTATATACTGGCTATGCCATGCCCTGGCCAAGGTGGTTTCTACCAGGCCAAGAAGAAAGACATAGGTTTTCTATAGCATTGGAGATCACAGGCAAAGGAATTGAGTAGGGGGTATTTAGTTGATGAGTGAATTTTATTCAAATATAGCATCCCAGGCAAAGTTACAAAGCAGATTCCAAGTGGGTATTTGCTGGGAGAATGATGGTATTAAACAGTCAGTGGAACTTGCAAGTAGACAGTTGACACTGGGGAATAATAAGAGACGAGGCTAAGGAGGTAGCTATTTACAGGAGGCACTGCTAAAGAATTTAGACTTTATTCTGAAGGCAGATGGGAGCCATTGAATGCTATTAAGATGAGGTATGACATAATCTCATTTACGGCATAGAAAGATCACTGTGATTACTAAGAAATGAATGAGTATAGAAGCAAGGAGAAGTGCTATAAACTTTTGCCAGCCATTACGAGTCAAAATTGTTCTATATTGCATAAACTAAATGGCAAACGTAAATTTCTTGGTGGAGTGAACCACGCTGCGAAGTACACTCACTGAAAATAGCAAAGTAGAACTCTCATTGGCTGAGAGCAGAGACAGTGTAGTTTGCTAATGTTCATTGGTCTAGAATTGTGCAGTTTACTCTGTCTCCCTAGTTCTCATTGGCTGAGAATGTTTAGTAACATTTACATATAACATAAATTAAAATGTCTTATGATAAGTTACACAATATATATTATCTCTTCTTATTTTAGAAAATAATTGAGTTAAATGGTGTCGGGCATTAAGCTGGATATGTTAGTTTCCTATTGCTATTCTAACGAACTACCACAAATTTAGTGGCTTACCACAACACAAATTTATTATCTTACAGTTCTATAGAATAAAGTCCAAAATAACTTTCACACAACTAAAATTAAGGTGTCAGTACGGCTGCATTCTTTGGTGGCTCTAGGGGGAAACTCCGTTTCCTTGGCATTTTCAGTTTCTAAATGCTGCTTTCAAACCTTCTTCAAATCCACCAGTGTGGCATCTTCAAAACCCATTCTGAGTCTGACTTCCTCTTCTGCGGTTTTCCTCCACTTTCAAGGACACTTGTGATTACACTGGGTCCACCCAGATAATCCAACATAATCTGCTTATTTTTAGGTCAGCTAATTAGCAATCCTGACTCCACATCCATCCTCAACAATTCTCTCTTGCCACATAATGACATATTCTTAAATTCTAGGGGTTAGGACATGGGCATCTTTGGTGGGGTGAGGGAGAGAATTATTCTGTCTATAACATCTGGTTACTTACATATCTATCCAATAGATAGTGGATCTAATCTCGCTGCTTCCAATTCTTACACTGGCTCTCTCATAGTAGGCACCCTGAAGTAGGCTGCAGGAATTTTGAGGAAGATGCTGTCCAGAATGCATGTTATTAGGAGGAAAGCATTCTGGAGGGCATGAGGCTTGATTTGGGCCTTGAAGGATGAATATTATTGTTTTAAGAACAGAACAAGGATGTAGATTATCTAAAGAAGGAGGCCAGGAAGAGAAGAAGTGCAGAAGAAATAATGTAAAAGGCCTGGTTAGAGAACTATGAGCAGACTGACAAGGAAAAACTGTTTTCCCGTGAACTGGGGTTTTCATTAAAGGGCAATGTTGCAGAATGTAAATGCCATATATATGAGATGGCACCAAGCCAACCACACTTGTATGCACATGCACACACATACACACAAGGAAAAATGTCCCACTGGAGACTCTTCAAGGAATTGTTTTCAAATAAATGGTCCAAAGTACAGATGCTAAAGTGTGGCAGGTAGAAGGGGGTTGGTGGTACAATGACATTATGACATCTATCAAAAATGTATCCGTGACCTAGAAGGATTGACACCTAGTAGATGGAAGAAAACAGGTCTAAGACACATCATTATTTCAGGGAATTTGAAGAGGAAAAAAACTCCCTCCTAAAATGCTGGTAATGTACCCTTTAGCAATGATAAGAACCCAAATACCTGAGGCACTGAAGTAACTCTTCCCAGGAAGACATCTCCAAGGCCAAACTGGGTGTGCAGGAGAACACCTACTGGCGTAAAGCACAAGGGGTTCTGTGGTAAGAAGAGAGGAACAAGGCTCTCTAAAAGCAGAGAGATGGGTCATTTAGCCAGTCTAGGAGGTGAGAGAAGGCTTCTCAAAGGAGGAAAGGGCCCCATTGCATCTTGTAGAAAAATAGGGTAAATCAGACAGAGAAATAAGAGCAGTCAAACCAAGGGAATACAGTGGGCAAAGATGTGTATATATAAGACTATTTGATATTTACAATATGCTAATTTGTACTGTTATTTTTATTTCCCAGCTTCATCTCAGGTCCTTTTAACTGTAGCTTAGCTATTAGTAAATAAAAAACAAAAGTTGCAAGTAAATAGCTATTATAATAACAATTTCAGAAAGTCATCACACAATAAATAACAAAATAGGGTAACACGAAATGTGTTTGCTGAAGTGTATTATTGAATTCATGAGAATATCAACATGTTATTTGGTACTGAATTTCAAAAAAGTCAAAATTAAATCTGTATAACCACCCCTTATTCATGCCTCTATACATCTCAAATTATTCAAATTCCAAAGAGAAACAAAAAGGGCCAAGAATTTCAAGCTAGAAAGGTTCATAAATCATTCTCCCTTGTCTCTCTGCTTGCCTCTGGTAAGAAGAAAATAAAAATGAAAAAGTTAAGACAAATATGACAACAAAGTGTTAAATTACACAAACTAAATAGGCAATCGAGCAATGAAAAGCTCAGGAATTAGTTGGTGAATAGAACAGTCATCAGCAGGTATTCATCTAGTGGGACAACTTAAATAGCTTTCAAGAAATTACTTTGGAAAGGATCTGGATTTAACAATGTCAAGGGAAATCTAGCCCTACTTCAAATGTTCTTCTGAGGCAAGCTAACAGGCTGCCAGAAAACAAACTGCAGCATTAAAAGGAAACAGAGATTCACTGGGAGCTTGCATTTTTTCAATACTGCTGTTAGTTACGTCTACAGGAGCCATGCGATGAACAGGTATCATCCCCTACTTCGAAGGCCTTGCAACATCTTCCATGGTGGTCTCATAAAGAATGTGCTTTGGTTTCTTTCCACGAAGAAGGGGTAGACCAGGAGTCAAGAGATCTCAATTCTTTTTAATCCCTCTGTCACTAACCAGGCATGTGCTCTCAGATGAGCCACTTCATTTACCTGTACAGGCCTCAACGTCATTACCTGTAAACTAAACCAGATAATATCCTTTTCCAATCTAAGTGTCAATGATTCCAAGCTATTAAGAATTTGGTCTAAGAGAGAATGTTATTTCTGTTGTTTCAGAGTAAAATCAAATTCCAGGACTCTAATTTGCATATGTCCTGTATGCATGGGTTCCCACGTTACTCAAGACTGCCAATCAATCTGCTGTGGACCAATCTTAACATCTCATTTGTGTATAGGGCAAGATCTGATCAATGTCTCTTTCTCTTTTCATGGGAATGCAGACAGTCTTCACTTTGCACAGCAGGCAGTATTCATAAAAATGACTGTGCAAGCTGATACTGTGCAAAGTAATCTTTAATAATCACTAGGGAAAATTAAATTGTTCTGTGACCTTTAAATCTTTTGTCAAAATATTAAAAACCCTATTACTATCAGTTATATATGTATAGGGTGATGGAAAAAACAGTAAAACTATTTTTTAGTACACTGTAATTTAAAACATTAGAGGCAGTGAGAATTAAAACGTCATATTTCTTTGTAAAAAAAACTTGTCTCTTGATAAGCTCTTTGAACAGTGCTTCCCTTTTCTTCTCATTGTGTAACTTACAATATAGAACAAGCTTCTTTTCACATCTTGGCAAATGGTCACATTCCTTCCAAAGTTTGTATTAGCTTCCAACATTTTTAACCTTTGCACTTTCAGTATTATGAAATATCTCCAAGTTCCTTCAATTTGAAAGTTTTTGCTGGCATCACTTCCTCTAGGACATCTTCATCCTTTTTTTTTTTTTTTTGAGATGGAGTCTCGCTCTGTCGCCCAGGCTGGAGTGCAGTGGCTCGATCTCGGCTCACTGCAAGCTCCGCCTCCCGGGTTCACGCCATTCTCCTGCCTCAGTCTCCCGAGTAGTTGGGACCACAGGCCCCCGCCACCGCGCCCGGCTAATTTTTTGTATTTTTTAGTAGAGACGGGGTTTCACCTTGTTAGCCAGGATGGTCTCGATCTCCTGACCTCGTGATCCGCCCGCCTCGGCCTTCCAAAGTGATCCTCATCCTCTTTATCACAACCACTTTATGTCAATAAGTTTCCCTAATAAAATAAAATAAATAAGTTTTTCTTCACTCAGTGTATCTGGCTGCATGTGCAGAGATTCTCGAAAGATGGCAATGTCAAGGTCAGCTCTTTGTTCTATAACTTCATTTATGTTTAATTTTAATTTCTTTTCCAGAATTAGCACATTCTCTTTCTTTACTCCATTTTGAACTTTGTGGGTCACTTCTGTTTTGATTGTCTAATTTTGTAAAATGGCATGTGGATTAATCAGGGGCAGACAAGGACATAACACAACTATATGCTTTGTTGTCTGTGCATGAATGGAATAATAGACGTGCAGTAACCACTCACCATAGACCTTGAAAGAAGTGACCCGATTGGCCATTGACCATGATAGCAGCCTATTATTTACTTAGTGGTTTGTGCACGAAGAGCTTTCGGCAACGTTGGTATATAATGCAATTATTCACAGTTAATATTCTGTGGTAATCAAAATTTGAACCATATTTTGGGACTAGGGTTACTTAATACCATGTGCTTGTAACTGAAATCCACGCATATCAGAATTGTGTCAAGTAAGACCTGCCTGTATGGCCAAATTGGCTTTTTGTTTTCCTCTTATCCATCTCGATAAAGACATCTTAAGAACTCCTTTTTATGGCCGAGCACAGTCGCTCACACCTGAAATCCCAGCAGTTTGGGAAGTCGTCTCTACCACAAATATAAAAAATGAGCCGGGCGTGGTGGCGCGTGCACGACTGTGGTCCCAGCTACTCGGGAGGCTGAGGCAGGAGAATGGCTCGAACCTGGGACGCAGAGGTTGCAGTGAGCTGAGATGGTGCCGCTGCACTCCAGCCTGGGAAACAGAGGGAGGCTTCGTTTCAGAAAAGAAAGAAAGAAAGAAAGAGAGAAAGAAAGAAAGAAAGAAAGAAAGAAAGAAAGAAAGAAAGAAAGAAAGAAAGAAAGAAAGAAAGGAAGGAAGGAAGGAAGGAAGGAAGGAAGGAAGGAAGGAAGGAAGGAAGGAAGGAGAGAGAGAGAGAGAGAGAGAAAGAAAGAAAGAAAGAAAGAAGAAAGAAAGGAAGGAAGAAAGAAAGAAAGAAGAAAGAAAGAAAGAAAGAAAGAAAGAAAGAAAGAAAGAAGAAAGAAAGGAAGGAAGGAAGGAGAGAGAGAGAGAGAGAGAGAAAGAAAGAAAGAAAGAAAGAAAGAAAGAAAGAAAGAAAGAAAGAAGAAAGAAAGAAAGAAGAAAGAAAGAAGAAAGAAAGAAGAAAGAAAGAAGAAATAAAGAAAGAAAGAAAGAAGAAAGAAAGAAAGAGAAAAGAAAAAGAATTCCTTTTCTCACATACCTATTCTTCTTTTTAATCCTGTTTTTTCCAACAACACTAAAGATACCACGAAAAATCTCTCTTCCGATTCAGTCTCCTTCTCTCATCCCCACATCTTCCATCATATCTATCAACCAAAACAGAAACAAAAAACGGTCTTAATCGTTTCCTATAAAAATGAAAGTAGAGGCCGGGCGCGGTGGCTCACGCCTGTCATCCCAGCACTTTGGGAGGCCAAGGCGGGCGGATCACGAGGTCAGGAGATTGAGACCATCCTGGCTAAAACGGTGAAACCCCGTCTCTACTAAAAATACAAAAAATTAGCCGGGCGTGGTGGTGGGCGCCTGTAGTCCCAGCTACTCGGGAGGCTGAGGCAGGAGAACGGCGTGAACCCGGGAGGTGGAGCTTGCAGTGAGCCGAGATCAGGCCACTGCACTCCAGCCTGGGCAACAGAGCGAGACTCTGTCTCAAACAAAAAAAAAAAAAGAAAGTAGAAGTGGAGAAATGCCTGAATAATAATAAAAAAAACAAAGTCATAAGTCCTTACAGAATTGTTTAAAAGTCTACATCTATTTCCTCTCAATTTGGTTTTAATTAAAATAACTCTTCTTAATAAACATTAAGATCTCACTATGTTGCAAACATGCAATATTTTAGCTACTTTGTGAATTCAATAGGCTCTTGTGGATAGGACAAGGATATCATTGTTATGTATAACATCTATAAACAAAAAAGAAAATTCTAAGGCTAGCCAACCATCTGAATGGACTTACTCCTTGGCCAGGGGCACTCTTTTATATGTATATATATATATGTGTATATACACACACATATATATATACACATATATATATACACACATATATATACACACACACACATACATATATATGTGTGTATATACATATATAAGTATATATATACATATATATACACACACATATATATGTATATATATATATTTTTATACATATATATATTTTTATACATATATATTATTATACTTTAGGTTCTAGGGTACATGTGCACAATGTGCATGTTTGTTACATATGTATACATGTGCCAAGTTGATTTGCTGCACCCATTAACTCGTCATTTACATTAGGTATATCTCCTAATGCTATCCCTCCCCCATCCTCCCACCCCATGACAGGTCCTGCTGTGTGATGTTCCCCAACCTGTGTCCAAGTGTTCTCATTGTTCAATTCCCACCTATGAGTGAGAACATGAAGTGTCTGGTTTTCTGTCCTTGCAATGGTTTGCTCAGAATGATGGTTTCCAACTTCATCCATGTCCCTGGAAAGGACATGAACTCATCCTTTTTATGGCTGCATAGTATTCCATGGTGTATATGTGCCACATTGTTTTAATCCAGTCTATCATTGATGGACATTTGGGTTGGTTCCAAGTCTTTGCTATTGTGAATAGTGCTGCAATAAACATACCTGTGCATATGTCTTTATAGTAGTATGATTTATAATCCTCTGGGTATATACCTAGTAATGGGATTGCTGGGTCAAATGGTATTTCTAGTTCTAGATCCTTGAGGAATCACTACACTGTCTTCCACAATGGTTGAACTAGTTTACACTCCCACCAACAGTGTAAAAGTGTTCCTATTTCTCCACATCCTCTCCAGCACCTGTTGTTTCCTGACTTTTTAATGATGGCCACTCTAACTGATGTGAGATGGTATCTCATTGTGGTTTTGATTTGCATTTATTTCTCTGATGACCAGTGATGATGAGCATTTTTTCATGTATCTGTTGGCTGCATAAGTGTCTTCTTTTGAGAAGTATCTGTTCATATCCTTTGCCCACTTTTTGATGGGGTTGTTTTTTCCTTGTATATTTGTTTAAGTTATTTGTAGATTCTGGATATTAGCCCTTTGTCAGATGGGTAGGTTACAAAAACTTTCTCCCATTCTGTAGGTTGCCTGTTCACTCTGATGGTAGTTTCTTTTGCTGTGCAGAAGCTCTTTAGTTTCATTATCTCCCATTTGTCTATTTTGGCTTCGGTTGCCATTGCTTTTGGTGTTTTAGTCACGAAGTCCTTGCCGATGCCTATGTCCTGAATGGTATTGCCTAGGTTTTCTTCTCGGGTTTTTATGGTTTAGGTCTAACATTTAAGTCTTTAATCCACCTTGAATTAATTTTTATATAAGGTGTAAGGAAGGGATCCAGTTTCATCTTTCTACATATGGCTAGCCAGTTTTCCCAGCACCATTTATTAAATAGGGAATCCTTTCCCCATTGCTTGGTTTTGTCAGGTTTGTCAAAGATCAGATGGCTGTAGATGTGTGGTTTTATTTCTGAAGCCTCTATTCTGTTCCATTGGTCTATATCTCTGTTTTGGTACCAGTACCATGCTGTTTTGGTTACTGTAGACTTGTAGTATAGTTTGAAGTCAGGTAGCCTGATGCCTCCAGCTTTGTTCTTTTTGCTTAGGATTGTCTTGGCAATGCGGGCTCTTTTTTGGTTCCATATGAACTTTAGAGTAGTTTTTTCCAATTCTGTGAAGAAAGTATTTCGTAGCTTGATAGGGATGGCATTGAATCTATAAATTACCTTGGGCAGTATGGCCATTTTCATGATGTTGATTCTTTCTATTCATGAGCATGGTATGTTCTTCCATTTGTTTGTGTCCTCCTTTATTTTGTTGAGCAGTGGTTTGTAGTTCTCCCTGAAGAGGTCCTTCACACCCCTTGTAAGTTAGATTCCTAGGTATTTTATTCTCTTTGTAGCAATTGTGAATGGGAGTTCAGTCATGATTTGGCTCTCTGTTTGTCTGTTCTTGGTGTACAGGAATGCTTGCGATTTTTGCACATTGATTTTGTATCCTGAGACTTTGCTGAAGTTGCTTATCAGCTTAAGGAGATTTTGGGCTGAGACAATGGGGTTTTCTAGATATACAATCATGTCATCTGCAAACAGGGACAATTTGACTTCCTCTTTTCCTAACTGAATACGCTATATTTCTTTCTCTTGCCTGATTGGGCCAGGGGCACTCTTAAAGTTTAACCTGAAAGACTGGTTCAGGCCATGATGGGAAGTGTGGGTCAGAGATGCCTCATTATACCTGTCCAGCATTAACACCAACACAGACTTTAAGCCTGATAAGAAACATTTTTCAACCTATTCTCTCTCAAGGCTAAGGCTTCCTCTACAAATAAGAACAGTCCTTTTTCTTAACCCAGACATTTTCTTTTTTTTGATCCCAGGTCTTTAGATAAACTCAATCAATTCTCAACCAAAAAATATTTCAATCCATCTATACCCTGGAAGCCCCTGCCGCAGGGCAGCCACCCCAGCCCCCCACTTCTAGTTGTCCTATCTTTCTGAACTGAACCAATGCATTTTTTAAGTGTGTTTGATTGAAGTCTCATGTCTCCCTAAAATGTATAAAACCAAGCTGTACCACCTTGGCTGCCACATGTTCTCAGGACTTCCTGAAGGCTGTGTCACGGGCCATGGTCACTAATATTTGGCTCGGAATAAATCTCTGTAAATATTTTATAGTTTGGCTCTTTTCATTGACACATTGTTATATTCACCAAACATCAAAATCCACATTATAAATGAGCTGCCAGAGAACAACCAATGAGAAAGTAGAGAGTCTGTAAAATCACAATAGCAAGAGAACATATGGAACAACAAAACATAACAACAAAATACATTTTTATACATATATTCCTCTAAGATATAAAGCCAATTACATTTATTTTTACTGGTTCTTTATAGTTTAATTTTCCATTTTTCCTCTTTTGTTAACAGAAAATCCAAACTGTGAAATATTTTAAAGAGGTTTATTCTGAGCCAATATGAGTGGCATGACCCAGAAAACACAATGTCAAGAGATCCTGAGAAAGTGTGCCCAAGGCAGTTGGGTTACAGTTTGGTTTTATACATTTTAGGGAGATGGGAGTTACAGGCAAGGACATAAATCAATACGTACAAGGTACATGTTGGTTCGGCCTGAAAGGTAGGACATCTTGAAGTGAGAACTTGTAAGTCACATGTGGGTTTTAGGGATTCTTTATTTAACAATTGGTTGAGAGAGTTAAGCTATTGTCTAAGGACCTAAAGTCAGTAGAAATGAATGCTTGAGTTAAAATAAAGGGGTTGTGGGGACCAAGGCCCTTGTTATGTAGATTAAGCCTCTTAGGTAACAGAGCTCCAAGAGAACAGGCAGTAAATGTCTCTTTTGAGACCTAATGGTATCAGACTAATTTTCTCTTCTAGAGCCAGAAAAGGCCTAGAAAGGGAAGGTCTAGCTGCATTAATGGAGATTCTCTGCAGACGCAAATTTTCTCCACAAAAGACAGCTTTGCAGGGCCATTTCAAAATATGCCAAATATATTTTGGAGTAAAATGTTTTTATTTGCTTGAGGGTCTGCTATCTGTCATGTGATACTACACTAGAATCAGTTTGGAAAGTGAGCCATGCTGTACCTGGATCATTTTTAAGAATCCACGTCATGAGATGTTATGGTTTGTAGGGTGTGATTTAACCCTTGCCTTGCATGGCCTTAGGTCTGGTTTATAATTTGATATCTTATTGCCACAAAGAGTCTGCTGTGTCAATCTTATGATATCTGTTTTAACTTTAATGCTTGTCAGCTGTGCCTAAACTCCAAAAGGCTGAGAGTATAAGGAGGCGTGTCCAGTCTGGGAATTCAGGTTTTTCCGATTTCTCTGAGGTCCTTTTGGCCAAGAGGGGGTCCATTGAGTCAGGCGGAGGCTTCAAGTTTATTGTTGGCTCACACTTAACTGTTTTTTTCTCTCTTTCACACTGCCATTTAACATAAAATGACAGTCTATATACCCCTCCTCTCAAACTTAGAACATATTCCATACAGAAGGGGGTCACAAGAGTTTCAAAATATTCATAAGTCGCCTTAAATTTGCACAAATAGCATGCCATTTTGATACATGATTTCATGAAGAAATGCTCTTGGAGAATAATTCTATCCAAGTTGCATATTTTATGGTAGCTACAATATGAATTTGAGTGACAGCGATTTCTGAAGGCATCCTAGACAATGCATGAGAACTGTCCTTTCTAATTGGCCAATAGAGGCAGGAATTCAAGAAGGCATCCAACAAATCACATACAGCTTCAACTTTTTGAATCACTGAGTCACTGGCCAACCTCATAGTAATTCCAGTCTGTCTAAATGAAGATAAAGAAACAACAGGGAAGTCCAAAACCATCACTGACAAAAAAGAATTCAGAAGAGTGGAAGTAGTCTGAGACTCTCACAGGGCACTGAGTTTGAGAAGAAAGAAATATTGTCATGATTTGTCAAGGCTAGAGAGGGAATAGTGGAGAGAGTATGAAAGAATAAGAGTTAGAATAAAGCTAACTAGAAGGAGTTTCATGAATACTAGTAGAATCTGTCTCATAGGCATGGTTTTCTATTACAGTGTGTAGCTAAAACAAGGCCAGTTTCACAGGCCTAGTATGGCAAGGAGGGACTAGAAACTGGAATGCCAAAGCACTATTGAAACAAGCAGAGCTGAACTCTGATGCTGGGGTTATATGGTTATCATCTTCTCTACCTTAAATTTATCTCCAAGGTTAAGAAAATTCTGGGAGTCTAGGATGTGGTCCTACCAAGAATGCCAGAAGTGTCAAGGTAAATAGCACTATGATTAAGACAGAGAGAAAAATCAGATTTGCTATTATTGTGCAAAGGAAGAGATGTGCTTTACACTGCTTTACGTCACTATATCTGATTTCATGGCCTCATTTTCCCTCTCTGACTGTTCAGCCACGCTCAGCTTCAACTGGAGCCTGACCAACTACTCAGACAAAACAAAGGTGAATTCTAAGCCAACATCCAATGATCTAGCTGAATTCTGCTCCAAGTCTACTTATCTCTTTTTCTGAGATTGCTAGTATGCTCACAAAAGGTTCCAAATTTGTACTTTATTTTCTCCTGAATTATTCATCACCTTTTTCTAGTGTGGCTGGACTGTACCACATTAGAATTACATTTTGTATTCTTTCTCCTTATTTCCCATTTCCTCCAGGGAAAGGTGTTTCTCTTTTGTCTCTGAGTGTACCTGTCAAAAAGCAGTCTTCGGTGATAAGAATAATTGTTTAATATGCTCTTCTAGAGAGTCTTCAATTCCCTGGAAAATAAAATTCTACATCATAAGAAGGAAAAGAGGATCCGATGAAATTAGTTTAAACCAAGGCCTGAAGCAAGAAGAAAAAAAATGCCTTTACTAACTTTTATTTTTATTCTTTGTTTAATATTCATTACCAGATGTTAGTTCAGGGCACTCACCTCCCATCTGGCAGAATTTGCAAAGTTAGGGCATCTGATTCAGTTAGAACATCCATACTCTTCTATCTATGTTATTTGTTTAAATGGTTCTGTTTCTGTACTTGGTGAAATGCTCTGTTGGCAGGGCAATGATCATATTCATAAAATGCTAAGAATGCTCTTCAGTTCTTCCTCTCAAATCCCCCTCTCTCTACAAATAGGCATTCCAAATATATATATATATATATATATATATATATATATATATGTACACACACACATGCATATATATACACACACACATGCATATATATACACACACTTGTATATGTCATTTATATCTACCATATGTGTTTCACACACACACAAAACTCTATATGTATTTGAATAACACTACTTATCACCCTGCATGTGTTTAATAATCATGATGTGTCTAAATATTACACTTCATGTAATGAGGGAAGTACAAAATAAGTATAGGTGGTCCTTCTCTATATAGGACTTAGAACCTACACGAGGGAACAAGTAAGGTTTAAATGTATAAGACAATAAAACATGCCCTGAAATATTTATTAGTGATACATTTGTCCTGATCTTAAGAGAGTCATCTGCTAGATCTGGAGGAGAAACATAGTACAAGATGTTGCTTGGTTTGCCCTGCTAAGAGAAAAATATGTTAGGATGACCTAGTTCCCATAAGACCACTTTAAACAAAAGTCAGAATAATACCAGATCAACTCCTGTGGCTTTTGTTTCACAGTACCCTTGAGATGGGAGAGTTCTTTGGACCCTTTCATGGAACCTGTGAGAGGGGGTATGGCTTGCTTACTCGGCCACCACACTCAAACCCCTTGTGGGAGGGGGAACTTGGCAGGTGAGTGGGTGCTGGGGCTGGGGAAGTGCTTTTGGGCTCCAGCCCCATGGTAGCATCTAGGGGTGTGTAACAATTAATGCTCTTTTAGCAACTGCCATCCACAGATGGCTAAGTGTTAACCAACTCAGTGAAGAGTCAGGATAACAGCCTTTTACACCACATCCTGCCCTCTTGGTACCCGGGTCCTTATCTAGCATCAAGGAAGAATCACGTCGCATGGACTTGAAGGTTGGTGAATGCAGAGGTTTTATTGAGTGATGGAGGTGGCTTTCAGTGGGATGGGGAGCTGGAAATGGGATGGAGTGGAAAGATAATCTTCCCCCTGGAGTTTGGCCATCACCAGCCAAACTCCTTTCCAACCATCCAGCTGCCTCTTTGGCATTCAGATGCTTCTTCTCTTCTCTCCTTCTCTGCCATGCCGCTCTGCTACTCTGCCAGTGGAGTTTAGGGGTTTTATAGGTACAGGATAGGGGGGCAGTGTGAGCCAAAAAGCAACATTCAGGCCGGAAAACAGGAATGTGAAGTTCTCATTTAGGGTGATGGGCCCAGGCTTGAGGGTGGAGCCCTCACCAGGGACCCTACCGTCTTCTTCCCAGTATTTCCTTTCCTTCTGTTTATATCACAGTGGAATCACAAAGAATTCCACTGACCTATGCTTTTAAAACACAAAGTTGGCCAAACAAAATATAGCTGACAGTTTGCAACTCCTAAACTAAATAATTTTTCTGTTTGTTTTTGAGAAGGAGTCTCATTCTGTCACCCGGGCTGGAGTACAGTGGTGCAATCTCGGCTCACTGCAACCTCCGCCTCCCAGGTTCCAGTGATTCTCCTGCCTCAGCCTCCCGAGTAGCTGGGATTACAGGCACCCACCACCATGCCTGGCTACTTTTTGTATATTTAGTAGAGACGGAGTTTCACCATGTTGGCCAGGCTAGTTTTGAACTCCTGACCTCATGATTCACCCATCTCGGCCTCCCAAAGTGCTGGGATTACAGGCATGAGCCACTGCACCCAGCCACTAAATAATTTTTTACAGTTATGTTATACAAAGAACCAACCAATATGGATGATTTGACTTTCTAAGACAATTTACCAAACTCTAAGTTTACCAAGGTTTAAGGATTTCAATGGGTTTTTCACAATAAATATTATCTGAGGCCACAACTGAAAGTCACTTGGAAGCTTCATGTGCCATGCTGTGGTCTCTCTCTAATTTACCTGTATGGGTGTGCTTCTTCCACATTAACTCTCTAGAACCTGAAGATACTAAGAAAAATCTATAGAGCTCAAAATATTTACAGCTTAATTAAAGTTCACTCTTAACTGTGTATCTGCTCTGTGTTTTGTGGGACTATTTCAATGTCAGTAGCCTTCATATCCCCCAAAATCCATCTCTATGCTTAGTCAATGTATGCTTATTGGATTAGTTTGAGTGCAAACAAATTTTAATATTTATTAATACAAAGTTAAACTAGATGATTCTTTTAAGATTTTTTTAAAACAATAAAAAAAAACACAAGTGGCTTTTGGATAATCTATGCTACTGCTCTGACAAAAATAGAAGAGCAGCTATTCCTTTATAAGTAGGAAGTGGGGAGGAGCATCCCTTTAACCCATATAGGTCCCATAGTTCTTCTTCAGGGACCAGAAAGTGATAACTGATGGATTCTAAGACAATAGCTCTCAACTTCGGCTTCTCATTAAAATCATCTGAGCAGCTTTTGAAATATGACTCTGTCTTGGCTATACCACCAGCAGAGATTTTTAAGTAATTGGTCTGAGATGGGTCCCAGATATCAACATTGGTTCAAAGCTTTCCATGGGTTTCAGATACATAGGCAAGGTTGATAACGGCTATTCTAAGAGGATATTTCTGAGAGATCATCCATTTTCTCCATATGCCTCTCAAATATCTCGCAGGTAGTCTTGCTAATGCCCTCCAATCTTTGTAGCTAGGTAAGAGTTAATTTTACAGTGCTTTCATCCAAGAAAAAAGAGTTTTAAACTCTGGAGTACTATAACAATCTTTCTTAGATGTTAGACCTCCCTTGGCTCAGGTCTCTGAAAAGGCCTACAGGGCTTGGAAAACCGAGCCATTCCTCTCCAAGTGAGGCAACACGTTTCGTATGCATGTGAGTTAACCTAAATAACAATTATTAGCCACAAATGTGACAACTACTGTAAATAATGTACTTCCTTTTATCTTGGTTTTTCAAAGAGATCTTCAGGGGGTAAAAACTGCACTCTTGATTTTGCATTACTTGGCAACTAGCAAACCGTGGGCTGAAACTCCAAACAATAGTCTTTTGGGGTCTCTGTTAACTTTGTTCTAAACTTTACAGAGCTAATTAGAAGTGTTCAAAGGCTCTCATTTTGAACCACTTAGTTGATGAGAAATGCATGTTTAATGGGCATCCTGGAAGACAATTTAATGAATCTAGAAGGAAAACAAAGCAAATTGATTATTATTCAATGACTTGCAAGAGCTCCTTGTGACCAGCTTGTAAATAGCAGAGCACAGAGGTAACCAGGACATGGTTGTAGGCAGCTCAGATTATTAATGAGGACACTGGTTGTGTTAATGATCAAGCAGCATTTTTAAAAAATGAATCCTTTGGGGGCTAAAAGAAAATATTCCAAGTTAATATCATTCAGATAGTACTTTGAAAAATCTTCCTAAACCCCCATGAGCTATTTAAAGAGCTTCAGAAGGGCTAAGGGGCTAGAGTTCAGAGGTATTAGGTTTCCTTGGCTGAGAAGACATGAAAGGTGTTCTTCCCCTTAGAATTCTGTGGCCTCTGTATCCAAGGTGTTTATACTAATCAGCAGTGTTTGAGCAGAGTTCCATCAATAACAACCTAGCAAGTTTTAAAAATTTAATTAATCAAGGTTTGCATAAAGAATGTGGGGGCAAAATAACAAAGTAGGGTCCATCTTGATAATTTCTTAAGAAAGGCATTCCATCATACCACCTTAATAACCTCAAGATTGTTTGACTGGGATTCCTACTATATCCTCTTTCACCCCTTACAGAGTCAGACCAGGAGAAGAAGAGGTCACCTATACCAAAAGGAGAAAGACTTTGCTTAAAACAATACTTAGCTCTTCCCAACCTGTCCCTGCCTTTGTCCTCTTCAATACCTCCCTCATGCACTTGTGCACACACAGGAACATGTACACACACTGCCTTAGATCAGGAAACATTATTAAAACAGATTTCTAGATCCCAGCCCAGAGTGTCTGATTCAGCAGATATGGAGA
This sequence comes from Homo sapiens, assembly GCF_000001405.40. Taxonomy (NCBI): domain Eukaryota; kingdom Metazoa; phylum Chordata; class Mammalia; order Primates; family Hominidae; genus Homo; species Homo sapiens. Next base: position 114,386,092 of record NC_000002.12, on the reverse strand, counting down.
GAGGTCCGATAATTTGCATTTCTAACAGGTTCCCAGATAATGCTGATGCTGATGGTTCAGAGAACAAACTTTGAGAATCACTTCCCTAGATTTCTATTTATTCCCAACAAACATGGCAAATTGCTATTATTTTCTGAACGTGCTCCGTGACTTTAGGCTGCAGGTGAACCTATCTCCACAAAGCAATTATCAGTAAGAAAGGGCTCCTGACACTTTCACTTCATTCATAGACTCCATCTTAAATCATTCCCTTTGGCTCATCTTGCACTCTATTTCCAGGCATGCTCCTTATTTACCAACTCCTCGTGCTTAGCACTGAAACAGCTCTCCAGGTCTGAGCTCTAGGCTTCTCTCCTTCGTGGACATCCTTGATTATGCTGCTTGCAGTGCCTGTAAGCAAGTGCATCTTTTGGTTTTGCTGCCTTTTATCCTAGCACACACATCCTGGGGTGTGTGTGTTTGTGTGTGTGTGCGTGTGTATGCATATGTATATGTAAAATGATAGCATATGCTAGAAAGCAGAATATCAGCATTGGGAAATATAGTAAATTATAAAAATAGTATTATAAACTATAAGGATAATCATAAACATACTAAATTAGTGTATGTGCTTGACATATTTTAAATTCTTTCTGGAATAAATCTAAATTTTAAAAGTAGTTTTTTTCTGTTTTTGGACTTCCTGTTTTGGACCTATCCCACAGCACTGCCTCTCTTTCCTAAGGACTGTCTGGCTGCTGAGGGATTATGTTCTAATCTCAGTTTTGATCCATTTGCTTCTCTCCATATTGTGTGCATTTTCTTGGCTCTTTTGGGGTTAGATATGAGATGAAGCAGTGTAATATTCCTATTGCTGGTCTCTTCAGGAAGAGATCTCTTTCTTTTAACTAAAAGGTACCAATTCTTTTTCTCATAGGAGTCCCAGATTAGTCAGAAAGAAGTCAGGATTTTATCTGACTTCTTTCTGATGTTGGTAAGAAGGCACTTCCCAACTGCCTTCTACTAAAGTAGAGCCCAACATGAGAATTCAGCCCAACTGAGAATAAGGTGACCTACCGTTTATAGTTCCTAGCCCTGGACACTTTTACGCTCACTCACTCACTTTGTTTGGGTCACTTTAATTATTTCTTCAGTGATGGAAAACCACCATTCAATGGTCCCAGTCCAGACACATGGCACAACTATCCGCGAAATTGTCATGACCATGAGCTATGGTTTGAATGTATCCCCCAAATTTTACTTGGTGAAAACTTAATTTCCAAATGCATATGTTGATGGCATTTGGAGGTAGGGCCTTTCGGAGGTAATTAGAATTAGATAAGGTCATCAGGGTTGGGCCCCCACAGTGGAACTGGTGGCTTTATAAGAAGTGAAAGAGAGACTTCAGCTGATACACTCCTTGCCTCTTGCCATGTGATGTCCTCCCACTATGTCATGACACAGCAAGAAGGCCCTCACCAGGTGCAGCCCCTCAGTCTTGGACTTCCCAGCCTGCTGAAATGTGAGCCAAATAAGCCTCTTTTCTTTCTAAATTACCCAGTCTCTGGTATTCTGTTATAGCAACTGAAAATGAACAAAAACGTCATGAAAATAACCCCAGCACGAGCTGAACTTCTGCACTGGAGCAATGATTGACGGCCACTACTGCCTCAGTGAATTCCATTATGCATGGACATAGAAATTTGGGTGGTAAAATTAAAATATTGCACAACTCACAGAAGAGATTTAGGGAAACAATATGCCCCTATTATTTATTTCTGTGACCTATCCTCTGTTTTTTAGGCTTAGAACTGCAACTATTTCCTTTGAATACCCAGAACTTCCCTTAGCTCCCTCATCTCACTCACTGTCATGGTTCAGGCTCCTGCCATCTTTCTTCTGGACTACTACAAGTGTCCTATAATGAACATCCCCGCCCTAGGTGTCCTCCCACCTACAGATTCTTTCTTTCTTACCCAGTCTTTATGCTACCCCCAGGGTGATTTTTCTGAAATAAGAGTACTCTGCTTGGGAGTTTAATGCTTATAAAATCTTTTGCACATGATCTAAGTCCCGTGGCATTTAACACACAGCTCTTCACCACTGAGTGTTGACAGCTGTTGTGAGACCTCGGTTCTTGTCTTCACAGTTTAAAATAATTTAAACGAGACGCATAGAGCAAAGGAGATGCATCACAGAGTGAAGAAGTTTCTGAGAAAGCTTCTGTCTACTGTTTATGTGAAGATATTCCCGTTTCCAACGAAGGCCTCAAAGCGGTCCAAATATCCACATGCGGATTCTACAAAAAGAGTGTTTCAAAACTGCTAAATAAAAATATGTCACTACATATTGCAAAGGAGAAACAATATTTTGAAAGTTAGGTGCAGAATAGACAGTACCCCCGAGAGTGAGAGGATTCAGGGCGGGGTGCTAGTAGGGTTGAGACGGCAAAGAATGAGACTAGGGAGACTTCCTTTATGGGAGTCTTACATGGTTATTCATAAGGGCATGGTAAGAGGTGTTGCTAGTATGCGTGTTCTGGGTGGTCCTCTGGGTGGACATGTACAGTAGTTGTGCATGCTTGTTCATATATCACATGTCTCATTAGCTTAAATCTCCACCCAGGCTGTGTTTTTTACCATTAAGATGAGCAAATAATGAGGATCAGCTTGACAACAGGTAAAATCAAAATGTTCATGCTCTTCATGGGGGAAATTCCCTACTGGAGATAGCTTTGCTTGAATGAGCTTAACTACAGTGTGAATGCTGAGGCTTATTTTGTTGATTGTAAGATCACCACAGTTGGGGTGTCCCAAAGACATCGTCACTTCCTTGACTACTCTCCTGACTTACTGGAAGTATCCTCGCTTTCCAGCCCCATGACCTGCCATTATCATGCTTCTAAAAATATCTCCTTAGTCAGCTCTTCATCTTCATCTCATATTCATCTTCTCTTGCTCTCCAGGTTCCTTGACCTTTGTTATGGAGTGAATGTTTGTCCCCTCCCACAATTCATACATTGAAGCCTTAACCCTTAATGGGATGATATTTGGAGATGGGGCCATTGGGAGGTAATTAGGATTAGTTAAAGTCGGGAGGGTGGGGTCCTCATGATGGGGTTAGTGCCCTTATGTGAAGAGACATTATAAGAAGACAGCCATCTGCAAGCCAGGAATAGTGTCCTTACCAGGACCTGATCATGCTGACTTACTGATCTCAGCCTTCCAGCCCACAGAACTGTGAAAAAAATTAATTCCTGTTGTTTAAGCCATCAAGTCTTTTACAGTTTGTTATAGCAGCCTAAGCAGACTAATACAACCTTTGAATGTCTCCAAGGCAAAATCACATCCCCACACTAGGTTTCACATTATTCATATATGCAATTTTACCTGCCTGAACAGCCTTCTCTAACTTCTTACATGGTTAACTCCTAACCCCTATTTATCTCTTGATTATATCCCAATTATCATTTATCAGGCAAGCTTTGCATAATCACAGATACAGAAGGGAGAAAACAAAATGGATGTATGAAAATTATGATAAATCTGGTTTTGGCTAGAGTTCCTTAATTTCTTCTCTTTGTTAGCATGTAGACTTCTGCTTAATTAAAACAGGTTTCCTGGTTATATGCATTTTCCTTATGCAGGGCCTAATTGTATGCCCATCCTCCCAAGCCTTTACTTCTGATTCCTTAAATCTTGTGGAGGGCTTTATCACACAAGGCTCAATGGTGCAGTAGATTCTGATGCATCTCCTTTGGAAGGAACCCCTTGAGATTTAGGAATCACTCTTAAAGATAATGATTTAATTATCTTAATCTGATACCAAACTTGGTGCACTGAGTTTGGTGTCAGATTAAGGACTTTGGGTTAGTAGGGAAAGTTTTGGCAAGTTTAACTGGGATGAAAGCAGCTTGTTGCTTTAAAAGAATATGTGTGGAAGCCAACAATAATTTTATCTCAGGAAATTAAAATAACATGCAAAACTGATCATGACACAAATATTAATGAACCTTGAGAAATGATGAAATAATGAGAACTGTCAATGGCCCAAAAATGAGTAATTGTTGTTCTGGTTTTCATAGTTGGGAAAAGGTCACTTGAGGGGTTGGGGGATGGTTTAACATGATAGCTGATAATCCCTGCCAGATTCTGCCAAGAAAAACAATTATCATAAGGCACCAGCGTGAGCTGACAAAGAACAAGCTATGCTGAACTAATCTAATTTATCTTTTAGAAAATGTTAATACATCAGGAAAATAGTATATATCTAACACAAATGGCTTGCAGATTAACATTTCTCATTCACTTCAGATATCCTCAGGCTTGGGTTAGTAAAGCTTTCCCCCCAAACTCTAATACAGCCTTTGTTAATTAACATTGGCATTGCAAAATGCTCAACAATAACTCCCTCCTTATAAATATGTGCCATACTAATTCATTGTCACTTAATAATTTACATAATTACTTTATAATTACTTATAATTTGCTATAAGCATCTATTTACAAAATGAATTCATTGGCATGATTACATGCTGTCTTGCATTTGAGTCTTAAGCGCATTGGGATTCTTCTATCTAAAATCACATTTTCAAGTGCATAAAATGTTCCCCAATAAGTGATTTGTGAGAGTATAGAAAATCATATTATTTGATGATGTTATAAAATAAAGTCGGTAAATATGTGCTTAATAAGAAAAGTACTCATCAAAGTTGGACACTGGTGGTGTTTGTATTGTCTTATGACCATCTCCCTTCTCTGCATAAATTTCCCCCTTTCATTCTTAGCAGGCACTAACCTCATAATTCTAAATGTCCTCATGATTTCTCCATTCTCTTCCAACCCTAGATATCAAAATCAGCCATAGAAAAACATTCTGAAATAGATTTTGCCCAATGAACCCAGAGTTTTGTCAAGTTGGACCTTGCAGCCTAATTTGAAATTCATCATCTTCACCAACTTCATACTTTTTCACATTGTAATTTTTTTTGAGACTAGGTGTCACTCTGTCACCCAGGCTGGAGTTCAATGCCATGATCATAGCTCACTGCAGCCTCAAACTCCTAGGTGCCATGTATCACAAAAAACAATATTTTAGTTTTCACAACTTATGGTAAATGTAAGCAATGTGTTCAAACTACATAGAGAGGAAAGATGAATTTTGTCTAGAGGGCATGCATGGGAGATGTTAAAGTGACAAATGTGGAGAAGGAAAGAGCAGAAAGATTTTCAAGAGAGATGTAGTATCTAAGCCTTATCTTTAATGGGGCAGGGTAGGAAGAGGAGGTCATTGCCTTTGTGAAAATATTTCAACCTCCAGGATAGAATTCAGCAATTGATGAAAATTATCCATGACTTCTGAAATCCCTTCACACAATTTCACATAGGCAGCAATAAGTTAACCTGAATATAAACAAGGTAGAGCTGCTAAGCTTCTGATAGTTAAAGGCATAAAAGCTGCTAGCATTTGAGGCATTAATTACCAGCAATAATAAAAAATAGCAGCAAAGAAAGAGTCGCACATGAATAAAAGCAAATTTGCATATTAATAGACAGATTAATTTACATTCTTTTTATGCCTATTTATTTCATAATAAAAATGAATAATAATTACTGTGAAGGTCTACTATGTACCAAGTATTTTATGTACATTGTTTCCAATGCTTATGACAAATTTGTAGATATTATTAGCCCCATTTTAAAGACAAGGAAACAGATACTCAGACAGGTTGAGTCTCTTATCCAAGATCACAGAGCTATGAAGTAGAGAAGTGTAATGGTAAATTTTAGGTGTCAACTTAACTGAATTAAGAAATATCTAGAGAAATGGTAAAGCATCATTTCTAGGTGTGTCTGTAAGGATGTTTCCGGAGGAGAATGGCATATGAGTTTGACTGAGTAGGGAAGATCCAACATTAACGTGGACAGGCACCATCCAATCAGCCGAGGACACAGGTAGAACAACAAGGCAGAGAAAAGGCAATTTTCTCTCTCTTCTCTCTCTCCTCAAATGGGGACAGTCTTATTATCCTACTCTTAAATATCAGAACTTCAGGCTCTCCAAGAATTGCAACAGCAGCACACCAGTTGTCAGTCCTTTGGCCTTGGACTGAGAATTACACCATCAGCTTCTCTGATTCTGGGGCTTTTGAACTTGGACTGAGCCATGCTACCAGTATCCCAGGGTCTCCAGCTCACAGACAGCTTGTCATGGCCTTCCCACTCTCCATAATCGTGTGAGCAAATTTCCCTTATAAATCTCTTTTCACACATTATCTATCTATCTATCTATCTATCTATCTATCTATCTATCTATCTATAAATAATCCATCTATCTATCTATCATCTATCCTTCCATCCATCCTATTGTTTCTGTCTCTGGAGAAACCTGACTGATACAGATCTTGCTACCAGAGTGGTTCTAGAGAAAGAAGACTTTAAGGATGAGTTTTATTAACTGATTTTGGAGCTTCTGGAACTCGTTCTGTAATCTGATTAGATCTAAAAATGCTCAGGGCTCTACTTCTAATAGTACAGAGAGCACTGAGAATCCATGGCATAGGATTTTTATAGATACCCAGAATATTTATATTTGATACTTTGAATTAAACACATACAAGAAGAAAGGAACCTGGTGACTTTGTATATGACACTTTCGAACATTTGTGGAAAACAAAGAAACATAATGACTTCAGTTGGTTTCTTCTAATGTCACTGGACAAAATTATGAAAAAAAAGAATTAGCTCAGGGATTCAAATAAGCATAAATAGCCTAAGGGCTTCTTTAAGTGTGCCTGGTCAGAATCTTTCTTCCTGCATCCACAGGGCTGAAATTGCTGAAAATCAAACACAAGCACTGATCATATGATTGTCTGAATTACAATGAAAGCTAAAGTCAGCCTTGCAGGGTGTCTACTGTTAAAGTGGCAGTATTGATTGGGGGAAAAAATGGGATTCTGTAAGTTGGATGGGAACACATGTAGAAAGGCCCTGATGAGGCTGGTGACATTAAGCCCCTAAATTCTTATGAGTCTTGTTTGCCAGAAAAAGTGACCTCCCACCCTCACCCCCAGTGGCTGCAGCTGTATCTCTTCCCACAACGGTACCATACTTTATATTAATACATCTGCCTGATAAACCCTGCATTGCCTAAAGAAATGGTAATGAGCTCCTGTGAGACAGTTGCCTACAAAGACAATTCTGATTCTTCTCAGAACCCACCAACAATATTCCTCTTTGCTTCTAGACATATAACTAGACTCAAGTCCCAGCAGGCTCCTAAAGGTGAGGCACAAAGGGTGGCCCATGAGGAGGTGCACTACACTCCAAAAGAACTACTTTGCACATTGTGCACATGTACCCTAAAACTTTAAGTATAATAATAATAAAATTTTTTAAAAAAGATCTACTTGAGTTTTCTAATTTATACAATCAGAAATCCAAAGAACATGTGTGGGAATAGGTATTAAGGATGTGAGGTCATAGTGAAAAGAACACAAAATTGGATTAGGTCCAATTTATTAATATAGGCTCACTAAGAAGAGATTCTGCATTTCATGTGGTAGCTTGGGGAGTTAGGGAAAGTGCTAATAGTTTGGTTGTTTGGCTAAAACATAAATCAAAAGGTGTCCCATCATGAGCAAGTTGGAGATGCCTGGTCTCCCTTGGTTTAATGTAGAGGAAGGAATTCAAAAACATTAAAAGGCTTAGGAAGATTGGAATGCTATAGTGGATCTGTCACTTAAAACCTACTCACCCACACTGGGAGGGTCCAGAAGACATACTTTTCATCAATACTTTGAGAATAAATTTGGGAGGGGAGCCCCAGCGTTCCTGAAGGGCTCCATGATGGTCCTTCTCTGGAGGTTGGACCTCACAGTGGAAGCCACAGTCACATGACTGAAAAACATAGATGCTATGGAAATAATTAGATCTCAGGACTGCAGGAATAAGTGGTGGCCCTCAATCATCAAAGGCAAGATGGGTGAAGTTACTCTTATGGGTAACAGAGGCAAAGCAACAATCAGAATAGTCTGACTTGTGTAAACCTATGGTGTTAGCTAGTTATTCACAGTGTTTCTAGAAGTAAAGTAGATAGTAAACCTACTAAATTTTTACTTAATCTGTATAAGCAGAAAACTTTCAGGTCAAATGAACAAAAGTGTAACTCAAATCACTAAAACAGAGAATCATGGCCCTTCACTAAATTTCCAGTCTTGGGGCAGTTTACAGACCCAAAACCCTTTAAATGAAGAGGAGGCTGGGTCCCCTCTAGCAAAGACCCCTGTACACTACTGAACATTTATATGGTTAATGATTCTCCCATCCTTCTCCGAAGGGACCTATGGCCTTTTACTAGAATAATTGTGCATTGAGACAAAGGAAATAATCAGAACTTTAGGAAACTACTGGACACTGGTTCTGAACTGACATTGATTTTAAGATATCAGAAACATCACTGTGGTCCTCCAGGTAAATTAGGGGCTTATGGAGATCAGGTGATCAATGGAGTTTCAGCTTGGGCCCAACTCCAAGTGGGTCCAGTGGTTCCCTGAAACCATCCTGTGGTCATTTCCCCAATTCTAAAATGCGTAATTGGAATGGACACGCCAAGCAGTTAGTGGAATCCTCACATTAGTTCCCTAACCTATGGAGTGGTGGGAAAAGTCAAACAGAAGCCATTACAGCTTTCTCTACCTAGAAAAACAGTAAACCAAAAACAATACCGCATCTCTGGAGGGATTACATAGATTTAGTGCCACCGTTGGAAACTGAAAGATTCAGGGGTGGTAATTCACACTACATTCCCAGTAACCTCTCTTATTTGGTCTGTGCAAAAGACAGATAGGTCTTAGAGAACGACAATGGCTTATCACAAGCTTAACCAAGTGCTGACTCTAATTGTACCTGTTTTACCAGATGCGGTTCTGTTGCTTGAGCAAATTAACACATTTTCTGGTACCTGGTATGCAGCTGTTGATCTGGCCAATGGCTTTTTCTCTACCTCTGTCTCTAAGGCCCACCAGAAGCAGTTTGCTTTCAGCTGTCAAGGGCAGCTATACACCCTCAGTGTCCTTCTTAAGGGGTATGTCAACTCTCAAGCCCTATGCCATAATTTAATTCACAGGGATCTTGATCATCTTTTCCTTTCATGAAATATCACACTGGTCCATTACACTGATGATATTAGGCTGAATGGACCTAGTGAGCATGAAGTAGTAATTACTTTGGGCTTATTGATAAGACATTTGCATGGCAGAGGGTGAGAAATAAATCAAAAATTCAAGGGCCTTCTCCTTCAGTGATGTTTCTAGGGATCCAGTAGTATGGGACATGTCCTTCTAAGGTGAAGGATAAATTGCTGTATCTGGCCACACCTAGAGCCAAGAAGGAGGCATAATGCCTGGTAGGCCTACTTGGATTTTGGAGGCAATACATTACTTATGTGGCTGTGTTACTCTGGCTCATACCAAGTGACTTAGAAAGTTGCTGGTTTTGAGTGAGGCCCAGAACAAGAGAAGGATGTACAACAGGCCCAGGCTGCTCTGTCACTTGGGTTATATGATCGAGCAGATACAATAGTAGCTGAGGTGTCAGTAGCAGATAGGGATGCTGTTTGGAGGCTTTGGCAGGCCCCCATAGGTGATCTCAAGGGACGCCCTTAGAACTTTGGAGCAAGGCCCTGCCATTATCCACAGATAATTACTCTCCCTTTGAGGGACAGCTCATGGCCTGCTCCTCGGCCTCAGTAAAAACTGAACACTTGATCATGGGCCACCAACTCATCATGTAACCTGAGCTGCCTATCATAAACTTAGTGTCATCTTACCCAACAAGCTATAAAGTTGGGAACGCACAGCAGCATTCCATCATCAAATGGAAGTGGTTTTGTGAATACCAGTCAGCCTCTTTCCCCAACCACCTCTGTTATTGCCCAGTGGGCTCATGAACAAAGTAACCATAGTGGTAGGAATGGAGGTTATGCTTGGGCTCAGCAACATGGACTTTCACTCACCAAGGCCATCCTGGCTATAGGCACTGCTGAATGTCCAATCTGCCAGCAGCCGAGACCAACACTGAGCCCCTCATGAGGTATTATTCCCTGGGGTGATTAGCAGCTACCTGGTAGCAGATTAATTACACTGGACCACTTCCCATCATGGATGGGGTAGTGTTTTGTCCTTACTGGAAAAAAGACACTCTGGATATGGATTTGCCTTCCCTGCACAAAATGCTTCTGCCAAAACTACCATTCATCAACTTACAGCATGCCTTATCTACCATTATGGTATTCCACACAGTGTTGCCATGACCAAAGAAATCTCTTCACAGCCAAACACTTGTGGCAACGGACCCATGCTTATCCTGAGATCCACTGGTCTTACCATGTCCCTCATCAGTCTGAAGCAGTGGGCTTGATAGAACAGTGGAAGGGCCTATTAAAGTTGCAGTTACAGCACCAGCCAAATGATAATACTTTGCAGGGTTGGGGCAAGGTTCTCCAAAAGGCTGCATATACTCTGAATCAGTGTCAAATGTATGGCATAGTCAAGATTTATGGTCCAGGAATCAAAGGGAGACATGGGCATGACAGAACTCACCGTTATCCCTAGTGACCCACTAGCAAAGTTTTTGTATCCTATTCCTGCAACTTTACACGACTTTATAGATTAGATGTCTTACTTCCAGAGAGAGAAATGCTGCCACCAGAAGACATAACAATAATTTTATGGAACTGGAAGTTAAGACTGCCACCCAGCCACTTTGAGTTCCTCGTACCTTTGAGTCAAAAAGTTAAGAAAGAAGTAACAGTGTTGGCTGGGGTGATTGTTTCAGACTACCAAGAAGAAATTGAACTACTACTCCGCGATGGAGGTAAGGAAGAGTGTGTCTGGAATACAGGAGATTCCTTAGGTCATATTTTTGTTTTACCATACTCTGTGATTAAGGTCAATGGGAAACTGTAACAACCCAATCCAGGAAGGACTACGAATGACCCAGACCCTTCAGAAACAAAGGTTTTGGTCACCCCACTAGGTAAATAATCACAACTAATTAAGGTGCTTGCTGAAGACACAGAGAATACAGAATAAGTAGTGGAAGAAGGTAATTATAAATACCTTACATTACAACCAGGTGAACCAGTTATGGAAACAAGGACTGCAATTGTCATGAGCATTTCTTCCCTATTTTGTTAAGAATACATTGAGTGTGTGTGTGGGTGTGTGTGTATGTGTGTAGCATGTATCTTTGTTTTTCTTTCTCCCTTATTCCTTCAATATCTAACATAAGATATACTATTATTATTAACCTTATATCATAGTATTTAAGTTATACGATCTCAGGAGAAGAATAAACATTACCCAAGGTCTTTCTTTACCTCCTCTTCTTGAGAAGGGATTAGTGCATTTTGGGCTGCTCATATGGTGGTTCTATCATGTTAGGTGAAACTATTTACCTTACTATTGTCTTTACTTGGAGATTAAGCATGGTCTGAGGAATGAATATGGGTACCCATTTGATAGGGGTTGGAATTGTTCTAATTAACTTTAGGTGTTAACTTGACTGAATTAAGTAATACTTAGAGACTTGGTAAAACAATATTTCTGGGTGTGTCTGTAAAGGTGTGTCTAGAGGAAATTGGTGTGTTAGTCGGTGGACTGAGTGGGGAAGATCTGCCCTCAATGTGGGCAGGCACCATCCCATCCACTGTGGGCCCAAATGGAAGAAGAAAGCAGGGAAAATGTGATTTTTTTTTCCTCTCTCTCCATCTTGAAATTGGGAGATTCTTATTCTCCTGTCCTTGGATATCAGAACTTCAGGTTTTCTGGCCTTTTGATTGCAAGACTTAACACCAGAAGTCCCTTTGGTTCTCCAGGTTCTTGGGCTTTCAGTATCAAACCAATAATTACACCATCAACTTGACTGGTTCTGAGGCTTCTAGACTTGGATGAGCCACACAACTGGCATCCTAGGGTCTCCAGCTTGCAGATGGCCTGTGGTGAGACTTCTCAGCCTCCATAATAACATGAGGAAATTTTCCTGTTATAGCACCCCTTTATGTATGTATCTATCTATCTATCTATCTATCTATCATCTATCTATCATCTTATCAGGTCTGTCTCTCTGGAGAATCCTGATATAACAAGCAGCTAGAAGTCAATCCTTCCTTTTTTTTTTTTTTTTTTCAAAATTCTGGCTTGTTTCTTCACACCATGATTGCTGTCCTCTTCCTCTTACTTAAAATATGTTTCAAAGTCCCTCCAGTGGAAGTTCAGTAAGGTGTTTCATCTTTAAAGAAAAACTCTCTCAAGGATATTGCTCTGTCTCTGCTTAACTAAAAGTACCTTCATCATAACCTGAAGTATTGACCTTCCATGATCATTATGCTGTGGAGGACAATGCAGCCACTCTCAAAATAGCAGTTCCTTTTGTTTCAGGCTATTTTTTCCAATTCATTAAATTCAGTGGAATAGTCTTATGTCTGTGGATTCACCAATTCACCTTCCATTCATTGCAGAAAGTTGATAAGATCCAGGAGAGCTAGATAACCAAGATTCTACATCTCTTTCTAACCTATCCATGATAACTTCCAGAAGCCAAAATGTTGAGTCGATCTTATAATGTAAAGCATTATCTAAAAGAAAGCACAAGTATTTCTCCAAATGGTGTTCCATATCACCAGACTTCAGGAATTACCAGAGATTTCTCCTAATAGAGCACTTACCACATTGCACCTCAATGAGATCTCTGCTTAGTTGTCTTTTCAAGACAGAATTAGCCCCACTAGTTCAAAGACGGAGACTTATTTATCTTTGTAGTTCCAAAAGCTAGCACAACGTCTTGCCCATAGTGGACACTTACTCAACATGTGTCTAATAAAAGAATGAGTGGGAGATCAAATTTATTCAGGCATTAAGTCTTAAATGAGAACCTCCAATTTGCTATGCAGTAGATATGACAATAGAGGACAATGAGGAATATCATAATTTGAGCTACTGACCTATATTTTAGTGAAGTATACAGAAATTAAACAAATAAGTAAACAAATTCAATATTTTCAGGTAATAGCAATGAAATATTAATAGGGCACTTACCACGTTCCAGTGACTTTTCTAATTGTTTCAAATGTATAAGTTAATTTCACCATGCAACTCCCCCCACATCACCCCAGATAGTTGCTATCATTACTACAATTTTAAAAAGAAAAAAAGCTAAGAGCATCGAAATTACATAATTGGTCAGAGTTTTGAAAGCTATTAAGTGGTTGAATTGGCATATTGTTGCAGGTAAAAAAATATATATATTTTTATATACGTATTTATATATATTTATTTATATATTTATATATGTATTTATATATATTTTTATATATTTATATATTTATATATTTATACATATTTATATATATTTATATTTATATATTTATACATTTATATATTTATATTTATATATATTTATATTTATATATATTTATATTTATATATATTTATATATTTATATTTATATTTATTTCTATATTTATAATTATATATATTTATATATATTTATATTTATATATTTTTATATATATAAATAAATATATAAATATATATATTTATATAAATAAATATATAAATATATAAATATATAAATATATATTTACATATATAAATATATTTATATAAATAAATATATTTACATATATCTTTATATAAAGAAATATATTTATATAAATAAATATATAAATATATCTCTTTATATATATATTTATATAAATATATATATCTTTATATAACTAAATATATTTATATTTAGTTATATAAATATATTTATATCAATAAATATATTTAAATATATTTATATCAACAAATAGATTAATGTAAATATATATTTAGAAAAATAAATATATTTATATAAATAAAAAGATAAATATATATTTATAAAAATATATTTATATAAATATATATAACTAAATATATTTATATAAATATATAAATTTATATAAATACATATATAAATAAATATATTCATATAAATACATGTATAAATGTATATATTCATATAAATACATGTATAAATGTATATATTCATATAAATGCATGTATAAATGTATATATTCATATAAATGCATGGAGAAATGTATATATTCATATAAATGCATGTAGAAATGTATATATTCATATAAATGCATGGAGAAATGTATATATTCATATGAATGCATGCAGAAATGTATATATTCATATGAATGCATGCATAAATGTATATATTCATATGAATGCATGCATAAATGTATATATTCATATGAATGCATGCATAAATGTATATATTCATATGAATGCATGCATAAATGTATATATTCATATGAATGCATGCATAAATGTATATATTCATATGAAGGCATGCATAAATGTATATATTCATATGAATGCATGCATAAATGTATATATTCATATGAATGCATGCATAAATGTATATATTCATATGAATGCATGCATAAATGTATATATTCATATGAATGCATGCATAAATGTATATATTCATATGAATGCATGCATAAATGTATATATTCATATGAATGCATGTATAAATGTGTATATTCATATGAATGCATGTATAAATGTGTATATTCATATGAATGCATGTATAAATGTGTATATTCATATAAATGCATGCATAAATGTGTATATTCATATAAATACATGTATAAATATATATTCATATAATTACATGTATAAATATATATTCATATAAATACATGTATAAATATATATTCATATAATTACATGTATAAATATATATTCATATAATTACATGTATAAATATATATTCATATAAATACATGTATAAATATATATATTTATATGAATATATGTATAAATATATATATTTATACATATATTTATATATATATATAGAAATATATATAAATATATATTTATATAAATATATATAAATATATATTTATATAAATATATATTTATATAAATAAATCTATAAATATATATTTATTTATATATAAATATATATAAATATAAATATATATATTTATAAATATGTATTATATAATTGTATATAATACATATGTATTATATAATTGTATATAATACATATGTATTATATATAAATGTATATAATACATATGTATTTTATATATAAATATGTATATATATTTTATATATATAAGATATATATGTATTATATATAAATATATATAAGATATATATTTATATATAAAATTTATATATATAAAAATATATATACATATAAATATATATATTAATGATATGGTAAGCCATCTGAGGTTATAAATGCGGGACAGAAACAATCTGATTTATATCATTTATAATATATTATTATATTATATCTGATTATGTTATTTATTTATATTGGTGGGTAAGGAAGTGAGATAACAAAGACAGAGGTGGGAGACTATTGCAGAATTCACACTGGATCACACTGGAAATCACAATGATTTGGATGAAGATGTTAGGAGTGGGTATGGTAAAAAATGATCAGATTACAGATACAGGGGATCCGTGACTCATGATGGTTTGACTTACAATTTTTTGATTTTACAATGGTTTTATCAGGAAGTAGCCTCATAGTAAGTTTAGCATCTGAATTTACAATGGTTTGACTTATAATTTTTCAACTATAATATGGTTTTATTGAGGTAGTATATGTGTTTTGACATTGATGTTTTCAACTTACAGTGGTTTTATCAGGATATAATCCCTTGTATGTTGAGGAGCACCTGTCTATCTGAGAAGTGGAACAAGAGCATTTCCAGATGGATCTAGACGTGTTATCAATAAGAGGAAAAATCAAGGCTCACTTACAGGTCTTAGGGCTAATCAAGTCTAGAAAATGGTGGCAGCATTTTCAGAAATGGGGAATTAAGATGAAAAAATAAAATTGGAATGAATAAAACAGAGTTTCATTTTAAACATTCTGAATTTGAGAAAACAAATAAATGCCCAAATGAAACTGTTTAATAAATGATTAAAAATATAATTGAGAATCAGCGAGAGTCTAGACTGTAAATATAAAATTGGAATTTATTAGCATATGAATGATATGTAAGACCTTGGGATTAGATACAATTCCCTGGGAAGCAGAGGCAGATGAAGAGGTAGGGTGACGACTGAGCCTTGTAGCCAGAAATAGAAAGTAGAGCCTGAAGTGGAAATGAAGAAAGCCAGGCTAGTGAGTCAGGAGGACTTTCAGTAGAGACCAGTCACAAACAACAAATGAGAGACAAATTATTTTGGAAAGAAATATGGTGGGCTAGATATCTTTTTTCATCCTCTACCAAAAACAACTAGAAGTGAAAGATACAATATAAAACCATAAGATAGTATTATAAAGATGTACACACAGACACACACACACACAGACACACACACATTCTTTAAGGTGTTGAGACCAGACAATATCTAAAAATGACTAAAATTTAAGAAAAGTAAGAACAAAGAAAGGTAAATGGAAACACAAAACTGCTTTGCCCTGCAGGATTTTGCCCAACATGGTAAATATGAACCTTAGTTTTTGTCATGAGGAACAAAGCCCTAGCTCTGCTAAAACAATTTTGCCTAGTAGAACAATTTCAACACCCATAAAGCTGGAATCCCAAAGTGTTCCACAAAAGTCTGATGCAAAAGTAAATTCTCCTCAACCATTTATTCCCCTTCAGGAGAGACGGCACTGAACAGACCTAAATAAAAAATAAAATTCTGAAAGATGTAACCATAAACCAATGCATAAATATTTATAGCACAGTTCACATTAATTAAGTCATGGTAGTTTAACCCAATTATGAAGTTAACTGAACAACTGAAATGCAGATCAGGATTAATTACCCAGGATGGAGCACAGAGAGACAATGAGATGGAAAATACGACAAAAGAGATTAAGAGGCATGAAGAATGAAGAATTGAATGAAAAGTTGCTGTCAGACAAATAATCATATTTATAGAAGTAAAGAGGTGAAACTAGAGCAGAAAAAATGATTGAAGAGCTGAGAGCTCAGGTAGTTTATGAGTGATGAAAAATAGCTATCCACAAATGTAACAAATCTGGTGAAACCCGATAAGTATAAATAAATAAAAAGAAACCCACATCTGAACACATTGTCATGAAAATGCAGATTAAGAAGGAGAGAAGGGGAGGGAGAGAGACAAAGAGAAAGCAGCTAGAGAGAAGTGGTATTACTTCAAAGAAGCAGCATTTATAAGTGACAGATGACACATTTAGAACAACAATGGAAGACAGTGGACAGTGGAATCTCTTCAAGTGTCCTAAAAGAAAACTACTAATCAAGATTATTATATCCAAAAATGATTTTGAAAAGTGAGACAAACTAGAAACATATTCAAGCAAGCTAAAACTTGTAGCGGAGCCTAGCTAAAGAAAATTGTTTACAGGCATAGATGTCAGGCAGAAGAAAAATAATTACAGATGGACAGCTTGAAATATAAGAAGAAATAAAGAGCAAAGACATGATAAAAATGTAGGTAAATCTAGCTTAATGTTGACATAAATTGATAATTACAAAATTTTATGGTTTTAAAAGTGAAATTAAAAATAGAATACACAACAATGACAAAAAAATAAGTACCTTAAGAAAGTAGCGATAAGTAACCATTCACTAGATGGTTCTTCCAACATGAGAGGGCAGGATGTCAGGAAATTTCTAGAGGTCAAGAAAACAAGAAGAATATGCTGAGTAAAGAAACAAAAACAAACTGAGAAGTGGCACAAAAGGCACCCTAAAAAACAACTAGTCCAAAACCTTCATTTTCAGAGTGGGAAAATGAGAGCCAGAGAGAGAGAAAAAACTAAAGTGGCTTAGCTTGCCTAGTGTGGATTAGCCCAAAGGGACAGAGCACGGTCTAGTGCTCTTCTCTTCTGTGTCACCACATCTTCATAACTGGACTCAATGCCAGTCAAACTCAAGGTACAGTTTGGATGTTAGTTCAATTAAACTCATCATTGATTTTCATAATGTAAGGAAGTTAAAAATCCAAGAGCACAGCTCTCACTTAGGCTCCTTGGTTCTTCCTGCTTGGTTCTTCCTGATTTGCACAAGTGAATAATGAAAATTCCTGATAAAGCTGTGGCTTACAGAGTGCATCCTTATTTTACCCATCTTCTGAATGTCAAACAAGATCCTCAGCCCAACAGGGAGAAGGGAAAAAGAGAAAGGACTTGACTTTTCAAGCACTTCCCACCCTCGCCTTACTTCTTTCCCTAAAGCTGCCTCAGCCTCCCCAAACAATATTTTATTTGTGTCAGCAGCAGCTCTGCTTAATACACTTAATGCAAAAACTGCACTTGTTCCTTCACCAACACCAGCCTTCAAATTATTTTTTAAGAGGATTGAACATTAAGCAGCCATATCTGAGGAAGTGACTACTTTAACTTTAGAAGCAGAAACACATTGAACATTTTCCTAACCTTTAAAACATGTCAAAGGCATAAATCAAAATATACCAAATTGGCTCCAGGAGAAAAGAATACATCTTTACCACAAATGCCTTGGTAATTCTGTAGGTAAGAGGTCATTTTCTCCAGAAATGTTCAGAATGGGTATATTTCCTTTAAAATGTTTTACAAAAAAAGAACCCTTACATTTCATGCTTGGTGGCTGACAATTCTAGGGCTGAGAAAAACAAAATTAAAATGGAGCCAGGAAAAGGTTATTTAAGAGGTTTCCAACAAGGGTTGCTGAGCTCTCAAAAAAAAAAATTAAAGTAACAATGTACTCCCAGCAGCATTTGGAACATTCAACACTGCCTTATACTTAGAAAATAGTTAGATTTTCTTTATATTCTAAATTTTTTGGCAGTTTTGACAGAAACACCTCTGATACTCATGAAGACAGTCTGTCTCTTGGTACATACACTGGATAAGCCCCTTGTTTACACTGAATGATACCTCTTCCTGAAGTGATTTCTTTTGAAACCTAGGTGACCTGAAACAGAAAACAGAGATAACTAATGCTGCACCTAAAAACAGGGATAACCAGTACTGGTCTAGAGGTTTTAATCTGTACATAAAGAAATTAAAAGATGAAAAGATTTGCCCCAGGTTATGCCCTTAGCTAGTTGAGAAACTCAAAGCAGAACTTGGCTTTCTTGAAGCTCAGTGACCCTGTTTTCACCATCACCATTTGAATCACAACTATAATAAAAAAAATTATACTCAAACACTAGGGAAAATTTGTTCTGTTTTTGAGACACAATATGCTTTCCTTCTTTCTTTTATTTTCTTTCTCTTATTTTCTCATTCAGAAAATAAGTCATAAAAACTTTGTTCTCTGGACAGCCAGGGATTCTTGAACATATTTTGCTACAACTTTATTTTAAAATGTGAAGAAGCAAACAGAAAGAAAATTACCTTTTAGGGGGTGGGACAATTAAGTTAAAATAATCGAATAGGAATGATGGGAAAAAAAACTGATACGTGTGTCTACATTTTTCCTCCAATAAACATTTTACGGGCCAAGTGGCAATTTCTGTATACCAGAAGTTATTATAAGGACAGAATATCATCCCAAACAGCTTTCAGATTCAGCTGTGGAGCAGAGACCTTCTGCCTTAATAAAGGGCAGTTGAGTTTGAGTATGCTCAAATTACAGTTACCACCAAACAAAAAAACCTGGTACATCAGGCTCATTAACTCATAGAGAAAAGAGTGGTTATGGTAGTTCCACCAAACAAGACAATTCATATGGGAGATAAAAGCGATTAAATGATATCTCCAAGTCAGACACTACAACATGGTCCTGCTGTATTATTTCAGAAGTTGGCAGTGATGTGTGATAACTTAAGACTATTTCATGAAATGATGTATTTGTGGCTTTGAACCCTGTGCAAGGATTTCTAGTTAGTCAGGATTTCACTGGAATACTGTTCTCAGGTGAGAAAAGAAAGAGGCCATTTTTATATGGTGTTCCACTCCAAGAGTTATCTTACTTCAAATTGTCTTTTGTGGAAATTAGGAAACTTTGAAATTAAGTCCATACCTAAGTAAGCTTGAAATCCAAGAAAGTAAAAATGAATAATTTAAGAATTTTTTCCCTTTAAATATCTAGATAACTAAAGCAAGGGATATCAGAAGTTAGTTAGGCAATTGCTTCCATTTTCTATTTGACTTGCTTGTGTAGATGAGTCCTAAGTATAGCTTAATGGACTATGCAAATATCTTAATATTATAATGTTAATGTGTGTCCTGCCAATGAGTTTTTTTTCTTTTTTATTTTACTTTAAGTTCTGGGATACATGTGCAGAACATGCAGGTTTGTTACAGAGGTATACATGTGCCATGGTGGTTTGCTGCACCTACCAACCCATCATCTATGTTTTAAGCCCTGCATGCATTAGGTATTTGTTCTAATGCTCTCCCTCTCCTTGACCTCCACCCCCCAAAAGGCCCCAGTGTATGATATTCCCTATGTTTATTGCAGCACTATTTATGATAGCAAAGACTTGGAACCAACCCAAATGCCCGTCAATGATAGGCTGGATAAATGATAGACAGGCTTAAGCAACAGCTTCTATCTGAGCTATGCTATTCTTGTGGTAGCAGAGAAAAAAATGGCACACTCACAGGATAACACTCATAGCAAGTCACATGACTAAGCCTGACTCTAAAGGAGAAGAAAAGATAATAATCTCGCAGGAGAGCAGCAGATAATTGAAAGAAATATACAATCTGCCAAAGATCATTTTCTGCATCATAAATATACATTTTCTTCCCTTATGTCCCTAAAATATATTCATTCATTTTCCCTGGAAAAAAAAGACAAAGTCTCATATAATTGCAGTATAAGACTCAAATCCTGTGACTTCCTGTACCTTCAGTCCTATCTGGACTGAAGATGTGGTTTCTCTTCTCTTGGAAATCTCTGAACTAAAGAGACAAGTTGTATGCTCCTCATACAACCAACAGACAAGGTAGAAGAGGGATAGAAGAATTGCAATAAACAACCCTATACAGAAAGAATTGGAGGCACCCACCGTCACTTGTCTAAAACAATTCTGAAATCATGTTGCAAAAACCCACTATTCTAGGGTTTGGGAATTAGAAGGCCCCAGTGGGAATTCTTGGCTCTTCTCTCTGGTAATCCCTTAATTTTTTATTATCCTTGATTCCAAATGAAGACAACACTAGAGTCTTAATAAAAGGCTGAAAAACCTTCTCAGTCTGCTATGTACTTTGTAGAATACTGAAGCTCCAAAGATCATATTAAGTTTTAAATATTCACAAACATATTGAATCAAAACTGGGGATTCTTTTGGCCATATAACATTCTCAAAGCATGAACTGACTTCTTTTTCATTTGACTCTATTCAATCCTAAATTCAAAAAGCCACACCTATGTTTATCTTCCAGATTGGCCTTGTTCTGTCTCTCTAGACTTAATCTCAGTCACCTTGAGCTTATCCAACTTCTATGAGAGTATAACCCTAGTCTATTTTCCATGATCCATTTTGTCCAAATGAAAGTATTTACCAGGCATCATATCAATAAACAGAGAGACTTCTGGCTTCAACCTTGATTTGTTCTTTCCCTCTTCTGAGTTCCAATTGGCCCTTGTTGCTCAAAGTATTTTTTAATATTATTTTTTATCAGATGAAGATGGGAAAAACATCTTCATGTTTTTCATGTTTTTAAGTTTTTAATGTTTTCGTGTTTTTAAGCCCGGCATGCATTTGGTCTGTTTTCAGCGTTAAACATCTTTTAACGCTGAAAACAGACCCCCAACAAAGTGAGACTATTCTTTAAATTTCATAGTTATACTTTTAAAACTTATAAATTATAAAATAGATAATGATATTATAAAATTCTACTATAAATTGAATGCATTGATTTATACTCATTTATCATCATGGAATCAAATATACATGTGCAAGATATAATTTATTTCTACAGAAAATATTTGATGAGCACACAAATTCAATAACCTATTTAATTAATGCCACAGCCTCACAGGGGCTGATAGTGCACATTTGGGAAACATAAATCGAGTTAATGTTTTCTCCACATGCAAGAGTAAACTGTACCCAAGGAGAACTAATTTGCCCAATATTACACTGTTTTAACGGTAGAGCTTGTTCCTGGATCATGACACATAGTCTGATTTTCCTTCCATCAGCAGGACCACACTGCATTATGGTTGTATATAAATAAATTTGTGACCATTGCTGCTATTATTTTGAAAAATATGAAATTGCCAACAGTTGAATATTTTTGATCTTCAGAAACTCCAACTGTATGTAGTTTAACCTAATACTGAAGTAATTTCTCCCATATGTTTTGGAGCTGTATTAGTCTGTTCTCACACTGCTACAAAGAAATATCTGAAATTCGGTAATTTATAAAGTAAAGAAGTTCAATTGGCTCATGGTTCTGCAGGCTGCACAGGAAGTGGAAACATAACAGCTTCTGCTCATCTTCTCGGGAGGCCTCAGGAAACTTATAATCATGGCAGAAGGTGAAAGACAAGCCAGTATGTCTTACATGGCCAAAGTAGGAGCAGGAGAGAGAAGGGGAGATGCTACACTCTTTTAAACAGAAAAATCTCACAAGAACTCTCTCACTATCAATATAGCAGCACCAAGGGGGAAATTCACCCCCACGATCCAATCACCTCCCATCAGGACCCACCTCCAACAATGGGGAATACAATTTGACATGTGATTTGGATGGGCACACAGATCTAAACCATAACAGGAACTTAGACCATTTTTTCTAGAGTCATACTTTCCAACATGTTACAGAAGTATTACACCTGATTCTGATAATTCATGTGATTATTTTTATGGTATCCATATACAGGATTAAATCATATTGAATCATGTCACTATGTTGAGATACATCTCTGAAATTGGGAGCACCAAAAAAAAAAAAAAATGAGAGCAGGTGAATCAGTGTTCTATATGGTCATTTATAACCTTTGTCTCTATGGAGGAAGTTCTTGATTGTGATTTCTTACCTGAAATCAACACAGAATTAGAGAAGTCTTGTTTATTTCTTTGTATTAGTTTTCCTAGCATTCTTTGCAGTGGCCACGTTAGCAGGCAGACTTGGGTCTACAGCACTCATCCCCCAGCGTATACTCACTCAT
This sequence comes from Homo sapiens, assembly GCF_000001405.40. Classification (NCBI taxonomy): domain Eukaryota; kingdom Metazoa; phylum Chordata; class Mammalia; order Primates; family Hominidae; genus Homo; species Homo sapiens. Next base: position 114,363,001 of record NC_000002.12, on the reverse strand, counting down.
GCCAACCAGGTATAACTACTAAATTAACAGTGTGTTGGTTCACTCTTTAGAAAATAATCAGATCATTTTCTGCAAAGCTAGGGTAGGGGATTATAAATCTATCTACCTAGGGAGAGACACCAAGGTTAATGGTTTAATAGTCATGAGAGATCCCAGAAAGGGCAGGATGGCTGAGGATACATACAAGTATAGCAGCTCACCATCCACATAACAAATTGTAATATTTTAAAAAGTCCTGTAGTGAGAATTCTTGCAATTATTTTTCAAACCTTTTGGTTATGTCAATTAGAAAGTCTCAGCTTGATGAATCTTTCTGCCATCAATATCCTAATATTGGTTAACACTATTCCAGAAAAAAAAAAAAAGCTAACTAGGAGGCTGTGTGTGTGACAGTACTGGCTTATTGTTGTGTCATTTCATTTGTTTTTAAAATTTATATCTATTTGTGCCAAATAAGACTGATTTTTTGACTTGCATACAATAACATTTGTTTAAAAATATATTTATTTAAATTTAAAAGGCAAATCAAATATTAAAGATGAGAAAATAATAAATTTGAGAAGTTTTCTTTAGACTACGTCTCAAACCTAGTGTCCAGCAGGGATAGTTTGCCTCCTAGGACACAGCTGGACATTTTGTGCCAACATTTTAGTTGTAATAATACAGGTGTTTAGTATGCAGAAATCAAGGTGACAGAAGTCTTGCAATCGAAGTAATATTTCTACCTCAAAAGAGTGTCCCACTAGACATGTACAGAGATGAACCTTCTGTTTTGTTTTTGTAAATGTTTTTTAAAGTAAAATTTACATATTTTAATTACATAACCAAATACATTTTTACAAATGGAACCACCTGTGTAACCACCGCCCAGACCACTACATAGAGCATGACCAACACTCTAGAAACATTCCAAGTTCTTTCTTCCCCCTAGAGTTAACCACTATTTTTATTTCTCTCACAACAGATTAGATTCCCTCTTTTAAATTGTTCAAATGGCATCATTCATTATGTATTCTATTGTGATTATTTTTTGTTTAACATTTTTTCTGTGAGATTCACCCATGTTACTGCATGTAGTGGTATGGTTGGTCCATTTTCATTGTTATAGCATATTCTATATTACATAAATATACCACAAATTGTTATTCTAATAGTGATAGACACAATGACTTGCCTTCATTTAGGAATGCTATGAACATTTCTCCACATATTTTCTGTGAACATGTATGCTGCTTGCTGCTAAGTGTACATGCTTGGGAGTAGGGCTGTTAGATCATGGAGCAGGCAAATATTCAGCTTTAGTCAACCTTGCTCCACCAATTTACACTCCCATCAGCAATGTATGAGAATTCTATTGTACTATATTATCACTTGGTATTGTTAGGTTTGGGTTTTTGTTTAACCATTCTTATGGGTGGATACACTCAATTCTAAGCATTTGCTCATAAACAGTAATATGTTTGCAAGAGGTTAATATTCATGATTGTTTTTTCCTGGAATCCAACCATTACATAAACAAAGGGGAGACTGGATTCTATTATATTTTAAACTGCCAAGAGTTGTTCACTTAGACAGAAACATCACTCTTGGTCTTTGAGTCTGTAACAAAACCAACATCCCTGTACTAGTTTGCATTTGCTACATGCAGAGTATTTCCATGGATAGAAATGACTATAGGAATGACTATTCATTTTGTATGCTAAGATCTATTCCTGAGTTTGCCTGAGGATTTATGTATTGAAAGACATTAGAAGTTCACCAAATTACTTTCCTTTTATTGTTCTTTTTGTAGGACATCTAAGACATTATAATTATTCTTTTAATTAATGTGTAGTTATTTATACATACATATACACATATACACACATATATGCATTTCAGGAAAGTAAAGAGGACTTTACACAATATTTCTTATTAAAAATGGCATGATTTGTGAAAGGATGTAAAATTAAAGCTGTATTAAAGCTATATAGGGGAAAAATCCTGGTGTTTTATACCACTGCAGGATGACTCTAATTAACAATAATATATGGTTTCAAATAGCTAGAAGGAGGATATTGAATATTCCCAACACAAATAAATGATACATGTTCAAGATGATGGATATGCTAATTACCTGACCTGATCACTATACATTGTATACATCAAAACATTACTATGTAACCCATAAATATGTACAATCATTATATGTCAATTTTAAAAGTAAAAGAAAAATGGTACGTTGATTTGATAGGGCTGAGATCTCTGCTGCAACCAATAAAACTGATCCCTTGATTGTAAATCATTTGGAGGTAAAGAAGTGAGAGAAAACTTGATATCCAAGGGAATCCTGTGAATTAGTATTTTTGGGGAAAAAAAAATCCAGTCTAATGCTAAGACCCAGCCCCTTCATCCATTTTCAGGCCTCAGTTGTCATCTGCCACATTTTTCATTGTCCCTTCCAAATCAGTCCAAAAGAGTACATGGCACTGTATGAACAGTGCCTTAGTAATTCCTCTGCAATTAGGGATAATTTGTCAGTCACCCTTAGCCGCTCACCAATCTGACTTGAAATACCACTGTGAAACATTCACGTATATGCTGCCAAAATGACTATGGTCAGAAACAGCATTTTGTGAAAGTCAGAACTTGCTCTATTATAATTTCAAGACTTCCCATGAGATCATAGATAAAGGAGATATGAAGCCTCGATACTGTCTATGTGACTCCTCCAGGAACAACTTTGCCAAAATACTTTCTCTTTCAAAAAAAAAAATCATGTTAAATATTCTTAACTCACTTTAAATGGCTGCCCATGGAAAGTCTTCCTGGTATTACACAGATAATATACACAGACAATATACACTGCAAGTAAATCTATTAGTCCTAGAAAAATGACCAATGATCCAAAGCCCTGGTAAGGATTTCATTAATTTGGTTATCATGGCTGGGTAATGTTTATGCAGGCATATGTCTGACAGAGTAAAACAGTGAAAAGATGGAAACCTAGCATGGAAATTTTCATCAAGAGAAGGAGAAAGAGAGATCAAGAGGAATCATTGTAAATGAAACTGATGCTATGGCCATAGAAGCACATTGACCACCTGAAATCATGCTGTTTTCTTAATACATAAAGCCTCAGTTGTACAGAATGAAATTCACCCCAAAACCTTCAATTTGACTAGAACTTCTAATATTTAATTTTAGAGAAAAATAGTTGAATTACAAAGTAAACAAAAAACAAAAAGGAACAATTAACAGAGATTTTCTTGCCCATGACAAGAAAGAAGAAATCAGCAGGCATGGTTATCAAATTTATGCATAACACTGCTAAAACACTACAAACCAGAATTGGGATCCAAAGTGATTCTTACAAGCTGAATCTCTGGACCAGTGTTTCATAACCCTGGCTGTACCTTACTATCTGCTGGGGAGCTTTAAAAGACCAGCTATGCCTGGGACCTACCCTCAGAAGTTCTAATTTAATTAATCTGGGTTAGGGCCCAGGCATCAGTAGTTTTCAAATGCTCCCCACGTGATTCTAAAGTGCAGTCAGGGCTGAGACCACTGCTTTAAAGCATGCCAAGGTTCGCTTTTATAAAGGGTCGAATACTATGACTGTTGGAAGTAAGTGATGGACAGGCGACTGAGAGAAATTAACACAATACAGGACACAACGGCTGTCTTAGATCAGAAAGAAGATTCAGACACATAGCCAAAATCCACAGGTAATAGTGATGGATAACATCATTGAGTGTTTTGTTGTTGTTGTTGTTTTGTTTTGTTTTTTGAGATGCAGTCTTGCTCTGTCGCCCAGGCTGGAGTGCAGTGGCGCAATCTCGGCTCACTGCAAGCTCTGCCTCCCGGGTTCATGCCATTCTCTTGCCTCAGCCTCCCGAGCAGCTGGGACTACAGGCGCCTGCCACCACACCCAGCTAATTTTTTGTATTTTTAATAGAGACGGGGTTTCACCATGTTAGCCAGGATGGTCTCAATATCCTGATCTTGTGATCTGCCCGCCTCAGCATCCCAAGCTGCTGAGATTACAGGCGTGAGCTACCTCGCCGGGCCCATCGTTGAGTGTCTTTCACAAGCCAGACGCTGGACCAAGGTGCAAAGCCATGGGAAGAGGGAAATTTATAGCACTAAATGCCCACAAGAGAAAGCAGAAAAGATCTAAAATTGACACCCTAACATCACAATTAAAAGAACTAGAGAAGCAAGAGCAAACACATTCAAAAGCCAGCAGAAGGCAAGAAATAACTAAGATCAGAGCAGAACTGAAGGAAATAGAGACACAAAAAATGCTGCAAAAAATCAATGAATCCAGGAGCTGGTTTTTTGAAAAGATCAACAAAATTGATAGACCGCTACCAAGACTAATAAAGAAGAAAAGAGAGAAGAATCAAATAGATGCAATAAAAAATGATAAAGGGGATATCACCACCGATCCCACAGAAATACAAACTACCATCAGAGAATACTATAAACACGTCTAGGCAAATAAACTAGAAAATCTAGAAGAAATGGATAAATTCCTCAACACATACACTCTCCCAAGACTAAACCAGGAAGAAGTTGAATCTCTGAATAGACCAATAACAGGCTCTGAAATTGAGGCAATAATTAACAGCTTACCAACCAAAAAAAGTCCAGGACCAGATGGATTCACAGCCAAATTCTACTAGAGGTACAAGGAGGAGCTGGTACCATTCCTTCTGAAACTATTCCAATCAATAGAAAAAGAGGGAATCCTCCCTAACTCATTTTATGAGGCCAGCATCATCCTGATACCAAAGCCGGGCAGAGACACAACAAAAAAAAGTGAATTTTAGACCAATATCCCTGATGAACATCGATGCAAAAATCCTCAATAAAATACTGGCAAACCGAATCCAGCAGCACATCAAAAAGCTTATCCACCATGATCAAGTGGGCTTCATCCCTGGGATGCAAGGCTGGTTCAATGTATGCAAATCAATAAACGTAATCCAGCATATAAACAGAACCAAAGACAAAAACCACCTGATTATCTCAATAGATGCAGAAAAGGCCTTTGACAAAATTCAACAACACTTCATGCCAAAAACTCTCAAGAAATTAGGTGTTGATGGGACATATCTCAAAATAATAAGAGCTGTCTATGACAAACCCACAGCCAGTATCATACTGAATGGGCAAAAACTGGAAGCATTCCCTTTAAAAACTGGCACAAGACAGGGATGCCCTCTCTCACCACTCCTATTCAACATAGTGTTGGAAGTTCTGGCCAGGGCAATCAGGCAGGAGAAGGAAATAAAGGGTATTCAATTAGGAAAAGAGGAAGTCAAATTGTCCCTGTTTGCAGATGACATGACTGTATATCTAGAAAACCCCATTGTCTCAGCCCAAAATCTCCTTAAGCTGATAAGCAACTTCAGCAAAGTCTCAGGATACAAAATCAATGTGCAAAAATCACAAGCATTCTTATACACCAATAACAGACAGACAGCCAAATCATGAGTGAACTCTCATTCACAATTGCTTCAAAGAGAATAAAATACTTAGGAATCCAACTTACAAGGGACGTGAAGGACCTCTTCAAGGAGCACTACAAACCACTGCTCAATGAAATAAAAGAGGATACAAACAAATGGAAGAACATTCCATGCTCATGGGTAGGAAGAATCAATATTGTGAAAATGGCCATACTACCCAAGGTAATTTATAGATTCAATGCCATCCCCATCAAGCTACCAATGACTTTCTTCACAGAATTGGAAAAAACTACTCTAAAGTTCATATGGAACCAAAAAAGAACCCACATTGCCAAGTCAATCCGAAGCCAAAAGAACAAAGCTGGAGGCATCACGCCACCTGACTTCAAACTATACTACAAGGCTACAATAACCAAAACAGCATGGTACTGGTACCAAAACAGAGATATAGACCAATGGAACAGAACAGAGCCCTCAGAAATCATGCCACATATCTACAACTATCTGATCTTTGACAAACCTGACAAAAACAAGCAATAGGGAAAGGATTCCCTATTTAATAAATGGTGCTGGAGAAACTGGCTAGCTATATGTAGAAAGCTGAAACTGGATCCCTTCCTTACACCTTATACAAAAATTAATTTAAGATGGATTAAAGACTTAAATGTTAGACCTAAAACCATCAAAACCCTAGAAGAAAACCTAGGCAATACCATTCAGGACATAGGCATGGGCAAGGACTTCATGTCTAAAACACCAAAAGCAATGGCAACAAAAGCCAAACTTGACAAATGGGATCTCATTAAACTAAAGAGCTTCTGCACAGTAAAAGAAACTACCATCAGCGTGAACAGGCAACCTACAGAATGGGAGAAAATTTTTGCAATCTACTCACTTGACAAAGGGCTCATATCCAGAATCTACAATGAACTCAAACAAGTTTACAAGAAAAAAACAAACAACCCCATCAAAAAGTGGGCAAAGGATATGAACAGACACTTCTCAAAAGAAGACATTTATGCAGCCAAAAGACACATGAAAAAATGCTCATCATCACTGGCCATCAGAGAAATGCAAATCAAAACCACAATGAGATACCATCTCACACCAGTTAGAATGGCGCAGGAAACAACAGGTGCTGGAGAGGATGTGGAGAAATAGGAACACTTTTACACTGTTGGTGGGACTGTAAACTAGTTCAACCACTGTGGAAGTCAGTGTGGCGATTCCTCAGGGATCTAGAACTAGAAATACCATTTGACCCAGCCATTCCATTACTGGGTGTATACCCAAAGGATTATAAAACATGCTGCTATAAAGACACATGCACATGTATGTTTATTGCGGCACTATTCACAATAGCAAAGACTTGGAACTAAGCCAAATGTCCAACAATGATAGACTGGATGAAGAAAATGTGGCACATATACCCCATGTCATACTATGCAGCCATAAAAAATGATGAGTTTATGTCCTTTGTAGGGACATGGATGAAGCTGGAAACCATCATTCTCAGCAAACTATCGCAAGGACAAAAAAACCAAACATCGCATGTTCTCGCTCATAGGTGGGAATTGAACAATGAGGACACATGGACGCAGGAAGGGGAATATCACACACTGAGGCCTGTTGTGGGGTAGGGGGAGGGGGAAGGGATAGCATTAGGAGATATACCTAATGTTAAATGACGAGTTAATGGGTGCAGCACACCAACATGGCACATGTATACATATGTAACAACCCTGCATGTTGTGCACATGTACCCTAAAACTTAAAGTATAATAAAAAAAAAAACATGGGAATAGTAAGCTCCCATTTGCTTTTATTTTTTAAAAAAATAGGGCCAGACATAGTGGCTCATGCCTATAATCCTAGCACATTGGGAGTCCAGCGTGGGTGGATCTCTTGAGGTCAGGAGTTTGAGACCAGCCTGGCCAACATGGTGAAATCTTGTCTCTACTGAAAATACAAAAATTAGCTGAGCATGGTGAACTGCGCCTGTAATCCCAGCTATGCCTGAGGCTGAGGCACAAATGAGACAAGAGAATTGCTTGAACCCGGAGGCAGAGATTGCAGGGGGTGTTTGCAGTGAGCCAAGATCGTGCCACTGCGCTCCAGCCTGGGCGACAGAGCAAGACTCCATCTTAAAACAAAAAAAAAAAAAAAAGAAAAGATGATAGATGATAGATAGATAGATAGATAGATAGATAGATAGATAGATAGACAGACAGACAGACAGACAGAAAGATGATACATAGATGCATGAATACACATGGAACATTTGGTGAAGGATGCCTAAGAAAGTAAATGATGGTTACCTCTGGAATGCAGGGTAAGAAAAAGACTCATTTTTATTTTACAATTGTATCATAGTCTGAACTTTATTTTTACTATATGTGTTATAAAGATTTTTAAAATATTACTTGCCTCCCAATTTGTTCCATCTGGTTTATCTTTCTCTGACAAAAATAGGATTATTTTTAGACAATGCCCTTTGTCCATTGCTCATTCCTTATACATGCCTAAACTGAGTTCTGCTAATTATCTCTGATACTTTGAACTGACATTGGGATTGAGACCTGCTGAAGATAAGGGCAATCCAAAATGTTCTAACTGGTAATATTTTCCCAAAGAAAATTCAAGCTTGGGAGTGGGCTACCTAGGGCATAGTTATAGATACCTTGGGGCTGTCCAGTTATACTGCATGTGTGTGGGGTTGGTGGATGGGCTAGAGAGAAGCCTATGACTGCTGTGAGGTAAGATGATAGAGATAAAACAGAATTGCCATTAGCTTACAAACCCTCCTCTTTCTGTAGCTCCCTTGGGTTGCCAAAGTTCTATAAAACTTTCAGCTCTCTAGTCCATTGATCAAGTCCACCTTTGATGTTTTTGTTAAACATACATCCCTAGAGCAGAAACGTAGGCAACACTAGGGGTGGGAGAAGAGCAGACTGCCCTGCCTCTCCCTCCAACCTCTTTACTCCTTCACTTAGGAGTCTCCTTGCTCCAAATTACCCACTAGCAAAACTACCTTTCCTTTCATAGAGTAGAAAAAGCACCAGTCCAGGGAATAAGAACACCTGGGATCTACTGCTAATTTTACTGCGTAGTTGCATAACCTTAGGCTACACACTTCACCTGTGAAAGGAGGACACTTAAAAGGATGAATGCCAACTTTTCACCTGTGTTCCACATCTTTAGATGGTACTTATATTTAGTAGAATATTAGCCTTCATAATAGTCGATAATATGTTCCCAACTTCAGTCTACTTGAAAGCAGTGGCTTATGAAATCTAGACCCAGAAGAGAGAAATAATGTAGAGTCCCATGTAATGCAGGCATCAAATATCACCTTACGAAATGGCTTTCTGCACTCATCCACTCTACGATCAATTCTTCTTCTCAGTTGTCCACCAGGCCTGGAGAGATAGAAACCCAAACCATTACAATGTCTGCATTGCCACAATAAAATGTGGTGTTGTATTCCAAATACTGAATGTTCTTATATTTAAAGGTTTTATAGGTGCCTGTTCAGATTTATCTGAATTCAGAAAATATAATAAACAAAACTGCAGAAATATGTAAGCTGCCTTGGGATCCTCACTTCATATTCTATTAGTAAAGTGTTAAGGAGAAATCAAGCCCCTTTCAAACAAAAAATCTTAATCATTTTGAAATTCTTTCTAAAATGACAGTTATAACTTAGATCAAAAAGTGTCTGAGAAAGAATCATTTTAATGACTTGACTAGAAGAGGGACAGTTTATTGAAGAGATGATTAGTATGAAGAAATCAATTTTATTCTTGAGAAAAGCAGATACCAATACATTCATGTTCCTGCATTTTAACAAAATTGTGTGTTAAGCGTTTTCACAAGAAACATCATTACCAATTAAATGGATTTTAGTTTCCAGAATTTTATCAGAAGTTATCATGTGATCCAAAGGAGAAAATGTTTAAATGGGATCAAAGGAAAAATCACATCGTGATTTACAACTCATATTTTCTGATCAGACTTACAAATCTAGCTAAAGTGTTTAATCAATATAGAGCACTTAAAAATGATGTCAGTTATAGAATGGTTTTACCTGAAAGCAGTGCTTAAGCTAATTTCCTGTTAAAAAATAAAGTAAATTTTTTTAAAAAAACCTTATTTCTCTTTAGCATGTATTTCTCTAAATTGAATCTAATGCCTAAGACATTGCATCAAATTTAACCTGCTTCTCTAATTCTTATTGAAGAAGCTGCATAAAATACAAGAATAAATATTCAAACACATAGCTGCCTACATATTTACAGGCTGATTTGTGGGACTTTGAATGGACAGGGCCTCTGTCTTTGCATTTAGATGCCCATATTTCACTTGGACTTATCGGAGGCTACCAGCAGCTGCTGGGAATACCTCAGTTATTTTCCAGGTATATGGCACTGAATCAAGAGCATTCACTTTCCTCTATGTTGATGTTTGGAAATTAGGCCTCTTTTGTTCAAATATAGAAAACTGAGAAGCCTTCTGGCCTAACTCAATGACATCATGAAGGGTACAAATACAGTAGAAATAAATCAAGTCACTAAAACCTGGACTTTATCGGCTTTAAGGCCATCCCTTAAAGTTGAAAACTGTCAGTTAGAATGACTAAAAGAAAGTACAGCTTTGAAGAGTCAATAGCAAGTATACCAGGCTGATGCCTAATAATTTCTGTCTAATAAGACAAAAAGTAGACTTTCTACAGGCATTTAGATTAATCTATTGATGATTCAGCCACAGAGTAGTTATAAGGGAAAATTTGTGATGTTTTTTAGATCAATATCAGTAGTTGTATCAGGTACTTCACATGAGAGTTCTTTTAAGTCTCACAAAAGCTCTGAGCAAGTATTTCTATCTTTAGTTTACAAATAATGCGAAGGTCAAAAGGTTAAGTAACTTGCACTAGGTCATATGGTAAGTGATTGCAGCTAGGATTTGAACCCAATTCAATCTGGTTCCAGAGCCCATAAGCTTTCTTTTAAGTTAGTCTGCCACTTAAAGAGAAGAGACATCTCTGAAACACAAAATACTTTTTGGGACCACTGTCAGATACAATTATCTATTGCTGCTATAATGCTGTAATAGCTAAAACTGCAAAACCTTGCTGGCTTAAAATAATAAATATGTATTGTTGCCCGCCAATCTGTGGGTCAGCTAGGCAGCTTTACTGGTCTTGGCTAAAGTTGGCTAAGGTAATCCTGTCTCATTGTATGTCTGTGGTCAACTAGCAGGGAGGCTGACTGGTTTAGAATTATCTTAGCTAGGATAATTTCTCTCTTTTTCACATGGTCATTTGTCTTTCTATAGGCTAGCCTAGGATTGCTTTTATGACAAAGAGTTCTAAGAAGGAGAATGGAAGCAGGTAAGGCCTCTGGACACCTAGGTCTGGAACTGACACACTGATACTTCTGCAATATTTTATTGGCAAAGGTGAGTCAAAAAGCCAAATCACATTCAAAGGAAGAGGATAAAGATTCTATTTTTGGGCTGGGCATGGTGACTCACGCCTGAAATCTCAGCACATTGGGAGGCTGAGGTAGGTGGATCACCTGAAATCAGGAGTTCGAGACCAGCCTGGCCAACATGGCAAAACCTCATCTCTCTACTAAAAATACAAAAATTAGCTGGGCATAGTGGCAGGCGCCTGTAATCCCAGCTACTCGGGAGGCTGAGGCATGAGAATCTCTTGAATCCGGGATGCGGAGGTTGCAGTGAGTCAAGATGGCACCACTACACTCCAGCCTAGGTGACAACAGTGAAACTCCATCTCAAAAAAAAAAAAAAAAAAAAAAAAACAGATTCTACCTTTGTATAGGAAGAGCTGCAAAGACACATGGCAAAGGGCATGTAAAAGAGCAATGAACAGTTAGAGCCATTTTTGCAATTAGTCTACCACAGAGATAAAAAGAAAGCAGTGTAAACCAGGACTGTTTTCTCACCTATTTGTTTATTCATTCAATAAGTAGTACTTGATTCTTACTACAGCTAAGGCACCTTATCAGTACTAAGAATTCCAGTGGTGAAAAAAACAGATAAAAATTCCTCTCCAGGTGAAGTTTACATTCTAAAAGGAAGACAGGCAGTATGCAAAATAAGTACATGAAATGGTTAGCGTATGCATTAGTCAACTCAGACTGCCATGAACAAAGCCCCATAGACGAGTCATTTAAACCTAGAAACTTATTTTCTCACAGTTCTGGAGGCTGGAAGTCCAAGATCAAGGTGTCAGCAGGTTTGGTTTCTGGGGAGGCCTCTCTTCTTGGCTTGCAGAGGGTCATCGTCTCAACTGTGTCCTCAAGTGGTGTTCTCTCTCTGTGTGTGTGCTCCTGGTATCTCTCCCTCTTCCTACAAGGACAGCAATTATATAGAATTAGAATCCCACACTTATGACCTTATTTTAACCTTAGTTATCTCTTTAAAGTCCTATCTTTAACACTGGGGATTAGAGCTTCAACATATGAATTTGGCAGGGAGAGGACACAATTCAGTCCATACAGTATATTAGATAATAAAATATAACTAAGAGAAAAACACAGGATGTGAGATAAAAACTGTTGGCTGTGGAAAACTTTAGATAGAATAGCCAGGAGGTTCCTCATTGAGAACATGACATTTGAAGGGTGGATCTGGCCATGTGACTATCAGAGAAGAACATTTCAGGCAGAGGAAACAATAATTTAAAAAGCCCCAAAGAACCCCAGGGAAGGGTCTGCCTGGTTTACATAGAGGCATAGCAGGAAAGGCCTGACAACAGAGAGAGCATTAGAGTGTGGGGTGAAGTTTAAAGTGGTCCAGATCAGACAGACCATAGTGAGGATTTGGTTTTTACTCAGAAATGCAATGAATAAGCATTAGAGGCTGGTGAGCAGAGGATTTAAATAATCTGATTCATGCTTCCTGACTTCTTTAACAAAATAGATGGTTGAGAGTAACCTAGGTGAACAGTTAGGACCTGTTGTACTAGTGAGGTTGGTGAAAACGAAATGAATTCTAGTTATATTTAGAACCTGGCCCTACAGGCTGTGCTGACAGAGCAGGTGTGGGTTGTGATAAAAATAGATGTTGCTATGGTTTGAATGTCTCCCAAAGTTTATGTGTTAAAAACATACTCCCCAATGGAACAATGTGGAAAGGTGGGATTTTTTAGAGGTAATTAGGTCATGAGGGCTCTGCCCTCACAAATGGACAAATGCTGTTATCACAGGAGTGGTTTCCCTCTCTTGCTCACGTGCTTTCATGCCCTTCTGCCTTCCACCGTGGGATGACACATTAAAAAGGCCCTCAAAAAAATGTAGACCCCTTGACTTTGGAATTCCCAGCCTCCAGAGCTGTGAAGAAAAACATCTCTATTCTTTATAAATTACCCAGTCTCAGATATTCTGTTACAGTTGCACAAAAGGGAAAAAGACAGAAAATTAGTACTAAGAGGAGGGTTGTTGCTATAACAAATACTTGAAAATGTGAAAGTGGCTTTGGAACTGAGTAATGGGTAGAGGTTGGAAAAATTTGGAAGAGCAGCCTAGAAAAAAGCCTAGGTTGCCATAAACAGAGCGTTAAAGGTGATTCTGGTGATGGCTCAGAAGAAGACAAAGGCTATAGGGAGAGACTAAATCTTAGGGATTACTTACATGGTTGTGATCAGAATTTTGGTAGAAATACAGACAGTAAAGGCCTTTCTGATGATGTCTTAGATAAAAATAAGAAAAAAAAGTATTGAAAATTGGAGTAAAGGCCATCCTTGTTATAGAATTGCAAAGAATTTGGTGGAATTATGCCCATGTCCTAGGACTTTGTAGAAAGTAGAACATAAGAGCAATGAACTACAATATCTGGCAGAAGAAACATCTAAGCAGCAAAGCATTCAGGTGCTGCAGGGTTTATTTTTGCCACTTACAATAAAATGAGATAAAAGATAAATGACTTAAAAGCAGATCTTATAATTAAAAGGGAAGCAGAATGGAAAGATTTGGAAAACTCTCAGCCTGACCATGTAAGAATAAAAAATTTTGTTTAGAAGAGGACACTAAGGGTGTAGCCAAGCAACCATTAGCTAAAGACGCTAATATGACTAGAAGGAAGCCAAGTTCTGTTCATCAAGACAATAGGAGAATGACCCCAAAGGCATTTCAGAGATTTTCAAGGCAAGCTAAAACCTTGAGGTCAAGGTTTCCAGAGAGACATCTGCAGGACCTCAGCATTCGAGGACCTGCACATTGGAACTCTGCTCCCCAAATTCCAGTGCAGCGCTCCTCGGCTGCCCCAGCTGTGGCTCAAGTAGGCCCACGTGCAGCTCAATCCACCACTCTAGGAGGTATAAGCCAAAAGCCTTGGCAGTATCCATGTGGTTCTAATTCTGCAGGTTTTGTAGAATGCAAGAGCTGTGGGGCCATGGCAACCACCACCTAAATTTCAAAGGATATCTTGGACAGCCTGGGAGCCCAAGCAGAGACTTGTCATGGGGACAGAGCCACCACAAAGAGTCCCCTGTAAGGCAATGCCTAGTGGAACTATGAGAGTGGGGCAGCCCCCAAGATCCCAGAACTGTAGGGCCACCAGCAGGCAACTCCAGCTTTGATAAGCTGCAGGCATGATACTCTAACCTGTGAGAGGTGCTCGGTAGACTGAGCCAAGAAAACCCACAGGGGCAAGGCTTCCTGAGGCCTTGCAGGCCCAACTCTTACCCCAGTGTGCTCAGGATTCAGGTCATGGAGTCAAAGGAGATTATTCTGGTGTCATAAGATTTAATATTGTTTTCCCTCTTGGGTTTTGGACTTACTGGAGATGAGTTATTCCTGTCTTCTTGTTTATTTCTTCCTCTTAAAATGGAAATGTTTTGTTTTTAGAGAGACAGGGCCTTGCTCTGTCACTTAGCAGACTGGAGTGCAGTGGCACAAACATGGTTTACTGCAGCCTTGACCTTCTGGGCTCAAGCAATCCTCCCACCTCAGCTTCCTGAGTAGCTGGGACATATATAGGCATGTGCCACCACACCCAGCTAATTTTTATATTTTTATTTTTGTAGAGACAGGGTCTCACTATGTTGCCCAGGCTGGTCTCAAGCTCCTGGCCTCAAGTGATCCTCCTACCTCAGCCTCCCAGTGTGCTGGAATTATAGGCATGAGCCACCAAACCCAGCCAGGAATGTTTTTCCTATGCCTGTCCCACTGTTGTATTTTGAAAATATATGAAACTTGTTTAGTTTCATGGGCTTACAGAAAACTTGCCTCAGGATGCATTATACCTTGATCTTACTCATATCTGATTTAGATGAGACTCTAGACTTTGGACTTAATTTTTATTTTCTAGAACAAGTTAAGACTTTTGGAGCTATTGGGATGCAATGAATATATTTTGCCTGTGAGAAGGACAAAAATTGGGCCAGAAACAGACTGGTATGGTTTGAATAGGTCCCCTAAAATTTGTATGTTGGAAACTTAACTTCCAGTACAGTAGTGTTGAGAGATGGGACTTTAAAACGGTGTTTAGGTCATGAGGGCTCCTTCCCCACGAAGGGATTAATGACATTATTGCAGGAGTGAGTTCATGATAAAAGGATAAAAGCTCAGCCCCTCTGCCTTTCCTTTCTCTTCACACATGCTCTCTAGCTCTTCTGCCTTCTG
Source organism: Homo sapiens (assembly GCF_000001405.40). Taxonomy (NCBI): domain Eukaryota; kingdom Metazoa; phylum Chordata; class Mammalia; order Primates; family Hominidae; genus Homo; species Homo sapiens. The sequence continues at coordinate 114,347,898 of NC_000002.12, read as the reverse complement.
CCATGGGAAGACACAGTAAGAAGGCCCTTGCCAATTATGGGCCCCTCGACCTTGGACTTCTCAGCCTTCAGAACTGTAAGAAATAAATCTCTGATTTTTATAAATTACCCAGTCTTAAGTATTTTATTATAGCAGCACAAAAGGGACTAAGACAATATCAAAGATAAGATTTTTGGCCTGGGTAACATGAAGGAATAAAATTGCCATTAATGAAATAGGGAAGATTATAAAAAATGTAGGAAAAATCATTATTATTTGCTGGTTTGTTTTATTCGTTTAGATGGTTTTTTTTTTATTTGCTTGATTGGTGATAAGAATATCAAGAGCTCAGTTTTGGACATTTATTGTTAAGATGGCTGTGCCGGGGGCCCTCTAGACTGTCCCCAGCTTCAAAGATTCATTGAAAGAACTCACAGGATGCAGAATATAGTTATACTCATGGCTAGGATTTATTACAGCAAAAGGATACAAAGTAACGTAAACAAAAGGAAAAGGGACGTGGAATGAAGTCCAGAGGCAACTAGGTGCAAGTTTCTAAGACTCCTCTTCAGCTGGGCGTGGTGGCTCACACTTGTAATCCCAGCACTTTGGGAGGCTCAGGCGGGCAGATCACGAGGTCAAGAGTTTGAGACCAGACCTGACCAACATGGTGAAACCCCGTCTCTACTAAAAATACAAAAATTAGCCAGTCGTTGTGGCATACGCCTGTAATCCCAGCTACTCGGGAGGCTGAAGCAGGAGAGTTGCTTGAACCCAGGAGGCGGAGCTTGCAATGAGTTGAGATCGCACCATTGCACTCTAGCCTGGGTGACAGAGTGAGATTCTGTCTATTAAAAAAAAAAAAATCCGTCATCAACACCACTCCTCTTCTAGTGGAAACCCACAGGACAAACTTAATTCCTTCCTCTGGCAACAAGTTGCGGCAACATTTGCAAAATGTTGTGTTATGAGGGAAGGTTATTAGAGGCTCAATGCCCAACATTTGTACTGAAGGCTGTTCATACAGGCACCCTCTGCCTGGCACGTACCAAAATCCTAGACTCCCAAAAGGAAATTACGTGTTCAGTATAAACCACACTGTTTGTACAAACAATTTAGACACAGCGAGTCACTCTTATCAGTTAACTGAGGACTGGGAACACTTCGAAAGCCAACTTCCAGTGACAACCAAGGGTCAACCATTCAAGCAAACCTTTCTAAGATCATTGTCTCGGGTTTGCTGTTTTAACTCTTTTCTACACAATACCCTTTAGCCATATTAGTGTAGATATCAAGTAGAAAGTTGTCTATACACATTTTTAATTCAGGGGAAAATCCTGGGCTGAAGATATGCATTTGGGATTCATTAGCATAAAGATGGTACTTAGTAATAAGACTAGCTAAGGTCTCCTTCACAAACCGAACTCTGGGGCCCATTAACATTTAGAGGTCAGAGAGATAAGAAGGAACAAGTACACGAGGGGAGAAAAAAGAAACAAGAAGCTGCTAAGCAGGTAGAAGTAGAAAAATAAGATGAGCAGGACCCTAAGCCATCCTGGAAACGAAGAAAATGTTTTATAAACTATAACTCAAGTTACATGAGGAGTGAGAAATGATGCCGGATTATGTGTTGATGCTTATAGATAATCCACAGTACTTATTTGAAACATTTTGGAAATACGTAGCTAAGTATGCCCCTGGCTCTTTAGTTCCTACAGTGCACTGTACAAAGATTGGAAATATATAGATGGTCAACGAAAATGAATACAGCAAGCATAATCCTGGCACTACTCACTCTGTCTCCATCAACCAGCCCTCAATGAGCACTTGACGAAGTCAGTTACAAAGAAACTAGTTGTAGGATCATTCAGGACCAAGTGGAAAGAGAGCTGTCTGCATGTGAAGGAAGAATAGTCCAGCCAAGTGGAGAAGGAAGAATGAAGATACAAGCTACTAAATGATTGAATGCATTCAAATTCCTTTGTCTAGTGTCTGGCACTATAAATGCTACCATATTTATCATATTTAGCATCATCAACAATAGCAAAAACATCAGCTTTATCCAGAATTGATCTAGTTAAAACAACTCTCACAAAAAGAGAAATGAATCACACTATGATTTAGACTTTCCAGGTTTCAAGAACCAGACACTGCATTCTTATTCTATACCAAATCCTAGTATAACACTCTGCCTGCCCCAAATACTCTACAGTTCGTATCCCTGAAATTACTTATACCATCTTCTTTTACAGAACACAATTCTGTCGATTTTGCCCTGACTCTTGCCAATTTACAATTTATTTGTTTGTTGGACTAGCTAAGTTTTACTTTTGGGGCATCTCTAAGAACCTGAGTGCTTTGTTAAACATTGCACTGGAGACACCTAATACTACTCCCATCTTGCACTTAATATGTCCTCCATTAATCATAGATATTCAGATAATAAATGAAAGAACTAAAGAATTGGAATCATCAATTGAAATTGATTCTTTTCTTTCCTTTTGTCTCCCCCTCTTTCCTTCTCTTTCTCTCCCCCCCCTTTCCCTCTCCCTCTCTCCCTCCCTCTCCCTCCCTTCCTCCCTCTCTCTTTCTCTGTCTCCTTTATTTCTCTTTGTTTTTTATTTTTCTCTCTTCTTGTTGCTGTTACAGGGAATTTAAGGATATATTCATCATTAGACTTGGGCAGTCAGGTTGAGTGCCCAAGGATCTCTATAAACTCTAACATATTTTAGAGCAGTGATTTTGAAATTGTGGGTTGCAACGCACTAATGGATTGTAACATCTTTTACATATTTTATTAAGTGGAATAGAATAAATTAGTTTCGCCTAGGCTAGTCTAGAAGGGAAATAAAAAGAAAATAAAATACCACAGTGGATTTTATGTAGTAAGAGAAACACTGTTTCCTGGAATTTTGCTTGAGTGTGTGTGTGTGTGTGTGTGTATATACCAGGTAGCAATGAAAAATGTATTTCATGTTTGGTCATGGTTCAAAACATTTGAGAAACACCACTCTAAAGACATTGCAGGAAATGATCATTTTGTAAACCATAAGACCACTGTCTTTATAATCAGCCTAACCCAAAGACACAAATATATAATAAAGAAACAATGCATTATAAATACTCTTGCTGTGATTTCCACACAGGTTCCAGAAGCTGCAGAAGGGCCCACTGTATGAGGTCTCATCCTGCTGCTGCCACAAAATGCCAGGCTTACATTTCATTCTAGCATTTTCACAATGCACAACTGGTTCCTTTTACTATCTGGATCAGAGCTGGTAAATATTCCCAATTCATAACAGTAGGCTTAGCATTTTTATTCAAACCTCAATGGATCCTCACACTTTTTGAGCAGCATTAGTGAACATCTTGGGTATGATGAGTACATTATCTGGCTGGAAAGACAGTTTGAGGTCTGGAAGGAGCTATATGCCAAATCAAATTCCCTAACAGGAGGCTTATTTGACATAAATTTTGCAAATCAGACTTGGTACAGCATCGAGTTAGTGATGTATTGTTTGCCTTCAGACACAAGAGCTCCTAAGAAGTCAGGGGCTAGTTACAATATGTGGGAAAGATCACAAAATTCCAGACCAAATATCCAGCTCTTCCTCTACAGACTTGCCTCCTGGAAGTGCTTGAGATTTATCTACCTGTCAACTTTCCAAACTGATGCCTAGGTCCAAATGAGGGCTGCTGTCTTGTTCTGTGTGGCTGAAAGTGCTGTATAACTATTTAAAAATTGGGTGATTTCGCATGAAATTCATATCTCTAGCTTTTCTTTTTATTTTATTTTTAATTGACAAATGATAGTTGTATATATTTATGGGCACAATGTGATGTTTTACTTCATGTATACATTGTGGAATGATTGACTCAAGCTAATTAGCATATTCATCACCCCACCTACTTACTATTTTTTGTGGTGAGAGTATTTAAAATCTACCCCTTTATTTCTGAAATGTGCAGTACATTATTACTAACCATGGTGACCATGCCATGCAAAACATGACTAAAATGTATTCCTTCTGTCTAACTCAAACTTTATATCTTTTCATCAACATCTCCCATTTGCCCATTCCTACCCATCCCTAGCCTCTGGTAACCACTATTCTACTCTCTACTTGTATGAGTTTGACTTTTTAGACTCCATATTTAAGTAAGATTTCTCTTTCTGTGCCTGGCTTATTTTATTTCGCATAACGTCCTCCAGGTTCACCCAAGTTGTCACAAATGACAGGATTTCCTTTTTTCTTTTTCCTTCTTGATAATATTCCATTGGGTATGTATATCATCTTTTCTTCATCCATTCATCAATTGATGGTACTCTTGGCTTTTCATAGAAAATATCAGAATTTATAGCAACTGACTAACATTTGTATTATGGCAGTGACTAGCTTGGTCTCTGGAAGCAGGTGTCTTGTTTACAAAGGCAAACCTTCTCCAGGTGTTCAATACAAGAATATCCACCTACGCCTGCTTCATTCTCTTGCTTTACTGGCCTGGTCTCATCAACATTTTAATTAGCTCTCCATAATCTACCAACATACATCTAATTAGGGCAGACCACTTAGACATAAAGATGGGTAGGTACTACCGGAGGGGTTATGCCTGGGAAATAATTGAGTCAACAGTTTTTACAATTATCTTGTTTCTCATTCTAAGCACATAATTTCCTGTTCATTATAGTTGCTCAGAAAATGAATGTGGATGACTGTTTTACAGATAAACACACTGGGCAGTGTACAGTAATGGAAACCAGAAAGCCAAGTATTCTGGCAGGGAGAAGCCTGGAAAATATCATAATAATCCTCTCTTCCTACCCAAATACTTTCCTCACCCGTGAATCCAGTTTTCATGCCACTTCTAAGTTGAAAAAAAAATTCAGTTGTGTAATTTTCTAGGTTTTATTACTTAAAGAAAATTAAGGAGCCCAAATTATAATGTTAGAAGAATAATACCTTCTTCTTCAATATCACCCAAATGCCTCACTGGTTCTTCTGAACAAGAAGCCTTTACTCGTGCTCTGCAGCCTAAAATCACTTCCCTGATTCCGAAATTCCTTCAAATGCCCCCTCATCACATGATTTCCCAGTCCTGATGCCTCTGCTGACATCTGCTCCCTTTTCTCTGGATCATGGTAGCTCTTCCTGACTTTTCCACTTTCTGGTGGGGAAAGGACATTTATTATAAATTCTTTTTCTTGATTGTGCTTTCTGCACTGATTGACCAAATAAATATTGACATTTTTAAGACAGTAAACTAATCACTATTAAGCTTATAAATTGTATAAAACCCAGCCCTTACCTTCATAGAAGTGGCATTCAACTGTAAATAATACCCAATATTCACACAGTGACCAGGTAAAAATTGAGCACATATGGCCGGGCGCGGTGGCTCACGCCTGTAATCCCAGCACTTTGGGAGGCCGAGGCGGGTGGATCACAAGGTCAGGAGATCGAGACCATCCCGGCTAACACGGTGAAAACCCGTCTCTACTAAAAATACAAAAAATTAGCCGGGCGTGGTGGCAGGTGCCTGTGGTCCCAGCTACTCGGGAGGCTGAGGCAGGAGAATGGCGTGAACCCAGGAGATGGAGCTTGCAGTGAGCCAAGATCAGGCCACTGCACTCCAGCCTGGGAGACAGAGCGAGACTCCGTCTGAAAAAAAAAAAAAAAAAGAGCACATAATGAATGGGTCCCAAGAAAAAGCCTATGAAATAAATTATTAAACACAGGAAGTGAATGACCGAATGAGTAAATAAATAAGTAAACAAATGAACTGAGGAACGATGCATTTTTGTGTCCTTAAAGTATTCATGTTTTTTAAATTTTATTTATTGAGACTGAGTTTTGCTCTTGTCGCCTAGGCTGAAGTGCAGTGGCACGATCTCAGCTCATTGCAACCTCCGCCTCCTGGATTCAAGAGATTCTCCTGCTTCAGCCTCCCGAGTAGCCGGGATTACAGGTGCGCGCCACCACGCCTGACTAATTTTTGTATTTTTAGTAGAGATGGGGTTTCACTATGTTGGCCAGGCTGGTCTCAAACTGCTGACCTCAAATGATCCACCTGCCTCAGCCCCCAAAAGTGCTGGGATGACAGGCGTGAGCCACCGTGCCTGGCTGTTTTTATTTGTTTTTAATTTTATGTTTGCACCATGATGTGCTAAGCTACATTCACAGCCCTGAACTGCTCTAAATCTGAAAGTCCTATATTATACTATTCTATATCTGTAGCTTCCATGGTAACAAGAATAAATCCAGAATAAGAAAAGAAATGCAGCCGGACATGGATGAGAAAGCCTGGAGGATCGGGAATCCAGAGACTGTTTCCGAGTGCAGAATCTGCTACTAACTGTCTGCATGTAACTAAATTTTATGAGGATGGATTATTGATCTACGTTAAGTCTCAGTTTCCTCAAGCACGGAGTAACAAGAGTAGATTAGCGCCAATTTCAAAATCATTCCAGCAGTTACTTATTATAATCCTAATTAGACTTGTGCACACTGTGGATAGGCTTTCCCTGACATTTAAAGCATCATAAAAGAAATGATAAATCCAAATTTATTTTTAAAAGAAAGAAAAAGAAAAATTTCACCACCAGTTTTTGTTTTTGTTGTTTGGAATTGTTCCATCTAGCAGCTTCTGTTACATGGTGCTAATAATCAAAAAATGCATCTTTACTTACCTTGCAGATATGACAAACCTATTTTTTTATTCGTGTTCTTTGATCTGATCAATCAAGGTAGGGGCTTGCTGCTTCTTGAATTGGATTGGATAGTTTGACTTAGACTGTTTTCAAAAAAGGGGTACACTTGGGTTTGCTTATTCAACCCATACCTTGTTCAGAGGAATGTAATAGGCAGTTCTAGAAACTGTCCTAGAATGAGACTCATTATTTATAAGACGAATAGATAAAGCAGGGATTCTTAAACATTAGCATGTTTTAGAATCACCAGGAGGGCTGTTCAGACATGGACGGTTGGGTCCCACCCCCAGAGTTTTTGATTCGATCTCTTTGGAGTAGAACCTTGTAATTGTATTTGTTATTACTTCCCAGATGAGGCTGATGCTGGTAGTGAAGGAACCACACTTGAGAGGCACTTTTCTACAATCTATTGCCTCCCTTGTTAGCTATTACTCATAGCTGCAAAAGACAAAGTCAGAATCCATCAGTGAAAAATAGATTGTATCCAATAAAACTGAAAGATTTCTTAGAATTTAACCTGCCCAATAATAGAAAGGCCCAGCTTTCATGCAGTGGGAGTCTTCCCAGCACCTGGAGATAAGATGGTCACCACCACTTAGGAGTTCTAAAAATGGAAAGCCAAAATAAAAGACCTCCAAAGTTCTTACAGCTCTAGGCTGCTTCAAAATTTTGAATGAATGAGAATCAGAAAAAGTATATTCCATGTGCTTTATGCAGCAAATGTATGCACTAGCCCATACTTCCTTTTATTAATGTGAGCTTGATCTTTTCTGTAGTCGTTGTTTTTAATGTACTTCAAAAATTGTTCTTTGCATCCACAGATTCAAAATGATGAGAAAGCAAGAGAACTGTGTTTGGAAGAAGCTTGCTTTTATCCATCTATTGCACACTTCAAATAAGCAGGGAGCTTAAAAAGGCCTTCACTCCCTTTAGTCTGTATCCTGACCGACAGAGAATAAAAAATTTAAATGAGAGAAAATCAATTATTGATCTACATTCTTTTTTCTCAGACACTTTTGTGCAATTACACTATGCCAGAGTTTGCTTGGATTTCAACAGCATACATCTTATTGATTGATTTTGCTTTATTGAAATAAAATTCTAAAGTTACTAGATCTACTTCAACCCTTTAACCTCAAGGAAATGTTGTTTATGCCAAGAAAAAAGCCAAGTTGTATCATAACTCTTTTGAAATGTTTCTGTCCTTTTATGTCTGGAGAAAACATCAGCCTTTTTATGAGAGCCTTTTATGATATTTCTTTAGCAAGGAGAGACTTTGGCAGATTTTTAAATGTCTAAGTTACAGATTCAGCAAACTTGTCTTGAGGGCCACTTGTCTGAAAAATTTATTTATTGATCTTTTTTTACTACTTTGCTTATCAGATCTTCATTGTCACACCCTACGTGTGTTTCAAGGGAGGAGACAAGCAGATGAGGAGTGTGTGCGCATTGCAGGTTTTGATGCAGACATGGGCATCCCTCTCTGTTGCCTCCTTTTCATTTTCACTTGGCTAAAAAGAATAGACTGCAGAACACTGTGAGGCTCAAAATATTGACTGGATGATATAATATAAGATTCCCTTTTCATACACTGGGAAAATACATTAGAACTAGTAAGAGTGGCATAGAAGAGAAAAAGTAAAGGTGATGGTTGTGGGGTCATAAAGCCATGAAAAAATGCAGTGATCAGAAGAAGCAGGGGGAAAAGAGCTTCCAAGAAGCTTCTTCTGGGCTCAAGACCTGAGACTTCAAATAGATATTTTACATGTATATGCACATATATGTATTGTATTTATGTACATGTATTATGTATTGCCAAACATTTCCAAGGAATTTACCTATAGCACTACACTTTAAGTAGAACAGTATCCTTCTCTGACAACTAATAATTTCCTAAGTACCTCAGCACACCTAATAGAATTATCAATAATTATCTAATATCATCCGGTATCATCCAATATCCTAATATTTCCCAGCTCTTGAGACCTGAAACTTGTAATGACAGAAGCCTATCAATAAGCAATAGAAAAGGTATTTCCTCAAAGGATTGTAGCTGAGTATAGTGACAAATGTTTTGTCCTGGAATATTTTAATTTTTTAATTCAGAATTGTATTTTAAAATAAATCTGTTTGGAAAAAAAGCAAAATAAAAAAGGTGGTCGTTGGATATTTTTTGCCAAGCATTTTTGTTATTCTTTCATTAATAATTTGATTCTTATCAATATGCTTATAAATACAAGGAGTTATATTTTTTATATTTTGTTGATGGTGATAATATGTTATTACCAAGCCTTTATTGAACAGTAACAGTGAGAGTTCTCAAGAGACCCTAGAACAGTAACAGTGAGAGTTCTCAAGAGACCCTACGATCAAGAATCTTGGGAAAATGTTCCCATCCTTGAAAGAACATACCTACAAGCCCTTAACTAGGCATAAGTACAAAGCTGATAAAAAGAAAAAGACAAAGAAAACAATAGGAAACATGTAATGACACCAAGAATATAAATAAATCAGCCTCACTGCCACTAGGCATTTTGAGGATGTAGATAAATAAAAGATGAGTCGAAATTTAGGAAGCAGTCAAATCAAAAAGAAAAGATAAATATAAGGTGATGGGTATCTGTTACACTGATTTGATCTTTACACATTATATGGTTGTACCTGTTATCACATGAACACCAAAAATATGTACATCTATTATGGATCATTTAAAATTTTAAATTAAAAAAGAAATATGCAAATAATATGTCTGCATTATTATTTTAAATGATTTAGCTAGACAAGCAGGCACAAAGAAACTGTGATTCCTAATAACACACAACCAACCAAAAAGCTGTATGGTCTTTTTTTCCCCATTGTTCACATAAAATATTTTGGTGTCAATTAGTTTCTCATGTGTCCGTGTTCTCTACAGACAACACAAGATTTCAGACCGTCTTATACAACTTTGTATCTATCGCATAACCAAGCAGCAGAAATGCCTTTTACATAGCAGGGACTCAACAAACGTGTGTTGTCTTTCCTGGTAATAAGGATAAGAAACTTGATTTCGTTTTAACTCTTGTGATGCCAAATCTAGGCTACTATTAAGATTCCCAAGAGTCCTTGAGAGCATTAAGAATTTTCTTAGAATTTCTGAGCTATAAAAGCAAATGAGCTCTTTATCTTTAATGAAAGTGGAATAGATGGTAAATGTATTCTCACAGTAGCCCAAGATTGCATTGAAGTGTCCCAGACTCTACACAATGACAAAAAGTGCATTAACCACAAGATCAAGATGCCTAATCAATTTGCAAGCACATTGAAGGGCTCAGAATGATAGGTAATAATCAGCTTGACTTTGTGACCAACAAATCATGTTAGACCAATTCAATTGCCTCCTCTGACAGAGTGTCAGACGTTGTATGCAAGAAGGAAGGGACAGACATAGTATATTTTGACATCAGGGAGGCTTCTGACTCTGTTCCACATGACATGCTCATCAACAAGATAGGAAAATATGGCGTGCTGTCAGAGATGGATTAAATTGATTAGAACAGTGGCTAATTGGGAAGAGAAGCAAAGTCACAGAAGGAACAAAAACACAAGTGCAAAGCCAATATGCTGCTGCTTCGGGTCTGGATAAATTCAAGGGCAAACAAGTATAGCAGGCAGAGCTAGATATAGTTAGATGGGGAAATCTTGTTTGTGGATAGAATAGCTCATGTCTTTTCATGGCCTTTGTGCCAACTATTGGGGTATTAGCACGTATATGAATGAATGAACACTACGTTCCTGTACTAATAAGAAAGTAATTATTTTATATTAAAGTTTTCTATCTCCAAAATATGTTACTAAAATGCAAAAAATAAATGGATGTAGTAATGTTTTGTTAAGCTATTAAGCATAAGTCTGCATCAAGGATAAATTTGACAGATCTCTCTAAATATGACAGATAGGATGGGAATAGGAAAATAAGATGGCTAGTTTTCAAAAGGAAGAAATAGAAGAGAAAGTTGGAGGATGTAGGCCAGGCGTGGTGGCTCACACCTGTAATCCCAGCACTTTGGGAGGCTGAAGCAGGCAGATCACGAGGTCAGGAGCTTGAGACCAGCCTGACCAACATGGTGAAACCCTGTCTCTACTGAAAATACAAAAATTAGCCAGATGTGGTGGTGCATGCCTGTAATCCCAGCTACTTGGGATGCTGAGGCAGGAGAATCGCTTGAACCCAGGAGATGGAGGTTGCATTGAGCCAAGATCAGGCCATTGCACTCCAGCCTGAGCAACAGAGCAAGACTCTGTCTCAAAAAAAAAAAAAAAAAAAAAAGTAAGAAAAAGTTGGAGGATGTATTAAGATGTCTAAAGGCAGGAGAAACATGAACTTCTAATCATTCTGACTACAGTCAAAAGTAATTTGAAATTAATTGGTTAAGATCGTTTTGTTTTGTCTCTGCCAGGCTTTGGCATCAGGATGATGCTGGCCTCATAAAATGAGATAGGGAGGATTCCCTCTTTTTCTATTGATTGGAATAGTTTCAGAAGGAATGGTACCAGTTCCTCCTTGTACCTCTGGTAGAATTCGGCTGTGAATCCATCTGGTCCTGTACTTTTTTTGGTTGGAAAACTATTAATTTCAGATAATTCCAATAACAGGCCTCAATTTCAGAGCCTGTTATTGGTCTATTCAGAGATTCAACTTCTTCCTGGTTTAGTCTTGGGAGGGTGTATGTCTTGAGGAACTTATCCATTTCTTCTAGATTTTCTAGTTTATTTGCATAGAGGTGTTTATAGTATTCTGTGATGGTAGTTTGTATTTCTGTGGGATCGGTGGTGATATCCCCTTTATCATTTTTATTGCATCTATTTGATTCTTCTCTCTTTTCTTCTTAGTCTTGCTAGTGTTCTATCAATTTTGTTGATCTTTTCAAAAAAACAGCTCCTGGATTCATTGATTTTTTGCAGGGTTTTTTGTGTCTCTATTTCCTTCAGTTCTGCTCTGATCTTAGTTATTTCTTGCCTTCTGCTAGCTTTTGAATGTGTTTGCTCTTGCTTCTCTAGTTCTTTTAATTGTGATGTCAGGGTGTCAATTTTAGATCTTTCCTGCTTTCTCTTGTGGGCATTTAGTGTTATAAATTTCCCTCTACATACTGCTTTCAATGTGTCCCAGAGATTCTGGCATGTTGTGTCTTTATTCTCATTGGTTTCAAAGAACATCTTTATTTCTGCCTTCATTTCGTTATGTACCCAGTAGTCATTCAGGAGCAGGTTGTTCAGTTTCCATGTAGTTGAGTGGTTTTGAGTGTGTTTCTTAATCCGGAGCTCTAGTTTGATTGCACTGTGGTCTGAGAGACAGTTTGTTATAATTTCTGTTCTTTTACATTTGCTGAGGAGTGCTTTACTTCCAACTATGTGGTCAGTTTTGGAATCGGTGTGGTGTGGTGCTGAAAAGAACGTATTTTATGTTGCTTTGGGGTGGAGAGTTCTGTAGACGTCTATTAGGTCCGCTTGGTGCAGAGCTGAGTTCAGTCCCTGGATATCCTTGTTAACTTTCTGTCTCGTTGATCTGTCTAATGTTGACAGTGGGGTGTTAAAGTTTCCCATTATTATTGTGTGAGAGTCTAAGTCTCTTTGTAGGTCTATAAAGACACAACAAAAAAAGAGAATTTTAGACCAATATCCCTGATGAACATCGATGCAAATATCCTCAATAAAATGCCGGCAAACTGAATCCAGCAGCACAGCAAAAACCTTATCCACCATGATCAAGTGGGCTTCATCCCTGGGATGCAAGGCTGGTTCAATGTATGCAAATCAATAAACGTAATCCAGCATATAAACAGAAACAACAACAAAAACCACATGATTATCTCAATAGATGCAGAAAAGGCCTTTTACAAAATTCAACAACACTTCATGCTAAAAACTCTCAATAAATTAGGTATTGATGGGATGTATCTCAAAATAATAAGAGCTATCTATGACAAACCCACAGCCAATATCATACTGAATGGGCAAAAACTGGAAGCATTCCCTTTGAAAACTGGCACAAGACAGGGATGCCCTCTCTCACCACTCCTATTCAACATAGTGTTGGAAGTTCTGGCCAGGGCAATTAGGCAGGAGAAGGAAATAAAGGGTATTCAATTAGGAAAACAGGAAATCAATTTGTCCCTGTTTGCAGATGACAGGATTGTATATCTAGAAAACCCCATCATCTCAGCCCAAAATCTCCTTAAGCTGATAGGCAACTTCAGCAAAGTCTCAGGATACAAAATCAATGGACAAAAATCACAAGCATTCTTATACACCAATAACAAACAGCCAAATCATGAGTGAACTCCCATTCATAATTGCTTCAAACAGAATAAAATACCTAAGAATCCAACTTACAAGGGATGTGAAGGACCTCTTCAAGGAGAACTACAAACCACTGCTCAATGAAATAAAAGAGGATACAAACAAATGGAAGAACATTCCATGCTCATGGGTAGGAAGAATCAATATTGTGAAAATGGCCATACTGCCCAAGGTAATTTATAGATTCAATGCCATCCCCATCAAGCTACCAATGACTTTCTTCACAGAATTGGAAAAAACTACTTTAAAGTTCATATGGAACAAAAAAAGAGCCCACATTGCCAAGTCAATCCTAAGCCAAAGGAACAAAGCTGAAGGCATCATGCTACCTGACTTCAAACTATACTACAAGGCTACAATAACCAAAACAGCATGGTACTGGTACCAAAACAGAGATATAGACCAATGGAACAGAACAGAGCCCTCAGAAATCATGCCACATATCTACAACTATCTGATCTTTGACAAACCTGAGAAAAACAAGCAATGGGGAAAGGGAAAGGATTCCCTATTTAATAAATGGTGCTGGGAAAACTGGCTAGCCATATGTAGAAAGCTGAAACTGCATCCCTTCCTTACACTTTATACAAAAATTAATTCAAGATGGATTAAAGACTTACATGTTAGACCTAAAACCATCAAAACCCTTGAAGAAAATCTAGGCAATACCATTCAGGACATAGGCATGGGCAAGGACTTCATGTCTAAAACACCAAAAGCAATGGCAACAAAAGCCAAAATTGACAAATGGGATCTCATTAAACTAAAGAGCTTCTGCACAGCAAAAGAAACTACCATCAGAGTGAACAGGCAAGCTACAGAATGGGAGAAAATTTTTGCAATCTACTCACCTGACAAAGGGCTAATATCCAGAATCTACAATGAACTCAAACAAATTTACAAGAAAAAAATAAACAACCCCATCAAAAAGTGGGCGAGGGATATGAACAGACACTTCTCAAAAGAAGACATTTATGCAGCCAAAAGACACATGAAAAAATGCTCATCATCACTGGCCATCAGAGAAATGCAAATCAAAACCACAATGAGATACCATCTCACACCAGTTAGAATGGCGATCATTAAAAAGTCAGGAAACAACAGGTGCTGGAGAGGATGTGGAGAAATAGGAACACTTTTACACTGTTGGTGGGACTGTAAACTAGTTCAACCATCGTGGAAGTCAGTGTGGTGATTCCTCAGGGATCTAGAACTAGAAATACCATTTGAACCAGCCATCCCATTACTGGGTATATACTCAAAGGATTATAAAACATGCCGCTATAAAGACACATACACACGTATGTTTATTGTGGCACTATTCCCAATAGCAAAGACTTGGAACCAACCCAAATGTCCAACAATGATAGACTGGATGAAGAAAATGTGGCACATATACCCCATGTCATACTATGCAGCCATAAAAAATGATGTGTTCATGTCCTTTGTAGAGATATGGATGAAGCTGGAAACCATCATTCTCAGCAAACTATCGCAAGGACAAAAAACCAAACACCGCATGTTCCCACTCATAGGTGGGAATTGAAGAATGAGAACACATGGACACAGGAAAGGGAACATCACACACTGGGGCCTGTTGTGTGGTGGGGGGAGGGGGGAGGGATAGCATTAGGAGATATACCTAATGTCAAATGATGAGTTAATGGGTGCAGCACACCAACATGGCACATGTATACATATGTAACTAACCTGCACGTAGTGCACATGTACCCTAGAACTTAGAGTATAATAATAATAAAAAAAAAAGATCTGACCCTAAATTCAGTATTTAGGGCAAGGCAACCAGTATTTTGAACTAATCAGATAACTAATCAGATTAACTGGGAAAGCAATCATAAAAATCTGGTCACGAGTTGAGAATTTATCCATTACAACAAATCAGCCAGTGAATAAGTCCTTAGCACACACCAACTAAATGTCCATCACTACTAAGCACAGCTTCTGCAAAGATCTGGGGCACAAAAAGAAAATACCTATGAAAGACAAAACACACGTATTCTAATCTCACCTCTCTCCAACATCTATGATTTCTTTATTTCATTTAAGCCTTCTTTGCTCTAAATATATCCCAGCCTCTTCAAAAACCTTCACCTGATTTTATCATGTGTGATGATTTTGAAAGATGTCTGCAAATTTTTGGGGGACTCCTCCCGTGAAAATGTGGAGCTTAATTCTTCTTCCCTTAATTGCGGGCTGTATTTAGTGACTCTGTCTAATAAATTGAACATGGCAAAGTGATGGTGTGAAACTTTGGTAATTAAGTCATAAAAGTCACAGAAGTTATTATTCATAGAAAAAAATTATGTTGTACTTGACAACAATAGAATTAAGAACTTCTATTTATTAAACCATATTATAAAGAAAGAGAAGAAAACAAGCCACAGAATGTGAGAAGCTATCTTTAGCCATATTACCATTCAAAGGACTTGTATCCAGAACACACACAGAACTAAAATTGAAAAGAAAAAGACAAATCAATAAACAGTGGGCCAAAAACATAACTAGCTATTGTATACAAGAGAAAAATTCAAATGGCCAATAAACAAAATAAGATCAGCTTCTTTGGTAATCAGAAAAATGCAAATAAAAATTATAGCAAGATAAAACTATACAACCATTGAATTGGCTATAATAAAAATCAGAGAAAGCCTCGTATTAAGGACAATATAAAACATTATTAGCTAAAGTTCAAAATAGGCATACCCAATGACTCAGCAATTTCGCTTCTAGGTAAATATGCCATAGAAAATGGGGACACATAGGTACTAGGATACATGTCTAAGAACTTTCATGGCAGCATAGATTTTTACAGCCAAAACTGGGAAAAATTGTTGTAGCAGCAGAATATGTTTTATTTATAAAACAGAGCAATGAAAATAAAGTAATGCGATGTCCAACTTAGATGAATAATAAAAATGTAGTGTTAAAGAAACATGACACAAAATAATATATGTATTGTGAAATTTATTTTTATTAAGTTCACAAATTCAAAACTAAATAGCATTGTCCTGTGATGCATATAGTGGGGCTACAATTATAAAACAAAGCAATGAAGTGATTACCATAAAATTCAGCATGTTGTTTACCTCTGGCTGGTACAGAGGGAAATATTCCAGATGGGAAATACGAGAAGCTTCTGGAAGGCTGGAAGCCTTCTATTTCTTGAACTACCTAGTGGTCATGGGTCCACTTTATAAATAATCCCATTACACTGCTTATTTGTGCTTTATGCACTTTTCTGTGTGTTACACTTCAAAATTTAAAAAAATTTCAATAACAATAAATTCTCAGGACAGTCCCACAAACTAGCTTTAATTCCAACAACTCTATGATAATTGCTCCCTGGGTTTTTTTCCCAAGAATCCCTTAAAACAGTTAGGAAGACATGCATACTCTGATTATCCTGTTTCATTCAGTTGCAAATATTCATTAAGCAAATATTAATTGACTGCCTACTATGTGACAGGCACTGTTCTAGGCATTTGGAATTATAGCAGTGAAAATGTAAAGAAAAATCTCTGCTTTCACTCTTTGAACTTATATTCTAAGTTTAAAAGTAAAAAATTACTTTTAGCAGTTACGGTTAAAAGACTAAATATAATTTAGTCTCAGGAAAGACTGCATTCAGGGATTCAAACAGCATCCCGACTAGCAGTCTCCATCTCTCTATCTCTCGCTTGGCTTAAAGTTGCATTTTGGCCTCACTCCCTTATGCCCATCCATAAGTTAAAGGGCATCACCATAATTAGATTTGTAACCACATTCTTTCAGCTTGCACTACAAGAGGAAAAAAATACCATCTGTCCCCAGTATCCATATATAAAAATCCCCAGGAAAAACCTCTGATTGGTCAACTTTAGGATCATGATTTCACTGAGGAGCCAATCACTGAAGCCAAAATAATGGTGTACTATGATGGGCCAAACCTGGATCCTAAACCTGTTCTGGAGATCAAAGAAACCTACTGCTGAAACTGATAGCCTTACTATACTGGCAAAAGTAGGTGAGAGGAATTTTCAAAAGAAATAGTGCTGAAATTAGAATTGATTAAGTATTGCTGAGTCAACAAAACAGTTGATGTATTCTCCAATAACCAGACGTAGTGGAGATCAAAGCAGGCTATTGTAAGAACAATCATAAAAGAAAATAAAAGAAGTAAAAGAAAAGAAAAGAAGCCATGAGTAAATTGCAAAAGGACCACAGAAAGGAGTAGTTATTTCTAGCTGAAAGATTAAGAAGAGATTCACAGACCTGCACCCATCCTCCTTCAGCCCACAGGGCTGGGTCTCAAATCCACCCTGAAAGAGTCCAGGAGAACATTTTATTCAGCATTAAAGAAGCACCAGCCTGAGGGGAATGCTGAGGTCATGCTAGCTGTCCTGACACATTCTGAACAAAATAAGTGACAGCAGAACCCATGACATGAAGATGATGTTCCAGGAAGGCAGCCCCGTCATCTGTGTCAGGAAGCAGGCCCAGGATTTAATTGTCCTTATCTGCTCCGCCAAGATTAAAGACTGCCTTCCTTAACCAAGCTGAGGGAATGTGAGTTTATGAAATAGTCAATAAAGAATAATGATGCAGCCAGAGACAGAAAGCCGGAGAGCAGAGAAGAAAATAAGTGCTCTGAGTTTAAGCTCTGTGTCCCTAAGTCAACATTTCAGAAAGCCCTTCTTTACTCCTTGTAAATGGCTTAGTGGATTTCCAGCAACAGGGCTCTGCTTTCCCATAGGATAGGCTCCCCTGAAATTTTGGAGCTCTATTACTGGAATTTCAACCTATTGATTTAAGGAATCTTTACAAAATGTGGTTACCTTTTTCAGACACTGTGTTTGAACTGTCATTCATTCCTCATATTCTGGAATTGACCTAATTATAAGAAGAAATTTAAAATAAATCCCTGTATTACCTCTCTTCTCCCCAAACTTCGGTAGGAGTCTCTAAGATCAACTACAATGCTGTGATAGAAATGTAAAATGTCCACACCCTGATACCAGCCCTCTCCTTAGACAGACTTCAAGGTGACTAATTCCACAGCCAGCCCACCTTCCCTTCATGACTTCTCATTGTGTGTACACATGTCTGTCTCCCAATCTTACTGGACTGGACTGTGTTTTCTTTACCTTTGCATTTCTTGAGCTCATAACATAATCTTGAGCTCATAGCCTAAGCCGTCTACATAATGATTCACTGATAATGCTTAAAAATTAAAGAATAAGTGATTCTGCCATCACTTATCTTTTCAATATCCATTAGAATCAGAGAAAACCTTTACAAATGTAATGATAACTGCATTGTGAATCAGATGACCAAATTAGTGTATTAAAGGAACTGAGGCTAGTTATGGGGAGACAGGCACATAGCAATTAAGAGCATGGAATCCAGTATCAGATACCTCTGAGTTCAAATATTAGCAAGCTCTTTAAACTCTTTGAGCCTCAGCTTCCTATGTATAAAATGGGTAGAATACCCTTCTCTCAGAATTATTGTGGGGATTCAGTGAAATAATGTATGTGAACACAATAAACTTGCATGTTACTAAGCCTGCAATAAACAGTGGTGTGTGTGTGAGTGTGTGTGAGTGTGTGTGTCCTTTCCCACAAATCCCACTCCCTCGGTAATTCAGTTCATTCTCATACCCAATTTTAAGACGTTCATTACTCAACACTCCAAAGGATATTTGCATTTTAAAGGAGGATAATGAAAAAATAATCCACAGTAGCCACTAGCAGATAGCATTCCTTTCTGGTGGTTGGAGACCCTGGTTACAGCCTCTCGAATAGGAACACCTAACAACTACAGAATACACATTTTTTTGAAGAATATCATTTACAAAATTGACTATTGGGACATAAAGCAAGTCTCAATAAAGTTTAAAATGATGAAATCATGCCGATTATATTTATAAGCATGTTGTAGTTAAACTAATACTGATGACAAAAATATAGCTGGCAAAAACTATACATTTTAGAAGTTAAGAAAAATACATCTAACTATATCTATGTGTCAAAAAAGAAATCATAATGACAAATGTTTTTAAATGTGTTTGTACTGAATACTAACAAAAACACATCGCAGAACTGTGTAATACACATAAAGCAGAGATTAGAAGGACATTCACAGACTTGATGTGTATGTGAGAAAACAAAGGTGCGTGAAAGTTAATGAGCATCCATCTGACCCAGATCCTTTTTCGGAGAAGGACTCACTGCCTGGTGGTAGGTGGTACAGTTTCCAGACAATCTTCAGCTGTCAGCTCCTACCGGGGCTGCCTCAGCTGCAGAGAGCTGCCTGTCCTAATGCCACGGTCTTCCTGAGCTGTCTTGTATCTAATAACTGATTGAAGAGGGTGCTTAAGGGCCTAGTACAATGCTGAGAAGTCCAAGACAGGACTACTTCAACAGGAAATATTGGCACCAAAGCTCCCCACCAAGTTGGCTAAGGTTTGTGGGAGTTGCACCGAAGTTCAGCTTCTCCCTGTGCCGTAAGCCAGCTTCCTCTCATCTTGCACCACCAACTTCACCTCAGTGTCCGCATTGAAGAACCTAATCTGTGAAACCATCTCAAATTAGATAAAGTACAACACACAAAGCAAATAAAAGTTATAAATGCAATAAAGTTATAAATGAAAATAATTTTAAAATGACTAGAAAAGACTGAAGAAAACTAACTTGCAAAGCGATGATTAACAGTTTTCTGGAAAGACTAATAAACTGTGTAAACTTCTAGTATGAGTTATTGAAAAAATTAAGAGAGAAAACACAATTAGCAATACAAAGAACCAACAAGGGAATATCACGACAGAGGCTAGAGACATGAAATGGATAATAAAAAGATATCAAAATCAACTTCCTTCCAAGTATCTTTTAAAAATTAAAACAAATGTGTCTAGTCCAGGGAAAAAAAGTAACATATCAAACAAAATCAAAAAACCTTTGGAAATCTCAATAGCCCTATAGACATTTAAAGTGAATGAATCAGTAATTTTTAAAATTTTCCACAAAGAAATCACAATGCCCTAATTACTTTATCAAGGAATTCTACTAAGCATATTTTCAATAATGTAAACGTTATGTAGTAAGTATAGAAGAGGAGTTAAAAATCACAGGAAATAAGGGAATAGCTCTCAGTGCATTTATGGAACAGCATAGATTTGAAATAAAAGCCTAACAAGGACAGCATAATAAGAAAAGTTACAGATCTCTTACTTATTTATATGCATGCAAACATCTTAAAATGCTAACAAAGCAAACACATCACTATGAAAATAATTCAGGTTTAAAAGGTAAGTTTTCATTTTTAATGTTAGAAAATTAATCAATACACTTCCTTAACAGATCAGAGTAATAATCTCAGTGATTTCAGAAAAAAAAGGATCACTAAAATTCAACACACATTTATTGAAAAAAAAAACGCTTTAGAAACCAGTATTGGAAGGAATTTCTTTAATCCAAATAAAAGTATATACAAAAATATTTGATCAAATGTCATATTTAAAATCTTTACCTTCATCACCAGAAATAAGACAAGGATTTCCACTGTCACCATTTAATTTGGCATGGTATCAGAGATCTAAACCAATGCAGTAAGATAAAAAGAAATCGAGTTTATAAGAATTTGAAAAGAAAAATGAAAACTGTATCTATACACAGATGGCATGATTGTGTATGTATAAAGTTCAAAAATAGTCTACAGATAAATTATTTAAAATGATATGTGGGTTTAACAACATTGCCAGATACAAAATAAATTTGTGGAAACAACTAGTATTCAATATATCAGAGCAAACTATTGGAAAATAAAATTTTGAAGATGATGGCATTCATAGTAGTATCAAATCTAGAAGCAAATTCAAAAATATCTGTGCAATGCTTTAACAAATATTGTATATTTTGATATAAACTTTATTGAGCTATATTAAATAAATGGAGAGGTATATTATGTTTATGGATTAAAACACCACTAAAAATGTCCATTATATTAAAACTGATTTATAGATTTAATGCAATGCCATACAATATCCTACTATGGTTATTTGTACAAAACTTGAAAAGCATATTCTAAAATTTACATGGAAATGCAAATGGGCCAAAGATAGCCAAGACATTCTCAAAGAAGAAAAACAGGCTGGGAGAGCGCCCTTTACTGTACGTTAGGCTTATTTTTAAACGATAGTAACAAAATGTGGGTAGACAGATGGAATAAAGAACAGAAAAACAAATTTACCTATAATGAACACGTGATAGATGACAGAGGTGGCATTGCAGACAAGTGGAAAAATGACAGATATTACAATGAATAGTTTTTAGACTGTTGAGTATTCATACAAAAAGACAAAAAATTGGACCGTTTCCTCACTTTATACGCAACCATCAGGTCCAGGTAAATTAAAGACCTAAATGTGAAAGATAAATTATAAAGATTATACAAGACAATTCCTCAGAAGTTCTGATTAAAAACATAGTTTATTAAATAAGACACAAAAAGTGCTATAAATTAAGAAAATTACTAATATTTTTAAGTCCATTAAAATTTGAGCTCCATTAAAATTAAGAACTCAGCCAGGCATGGTGGCTCATGCCTATAATCCCAGCACTTTGGGAGGCCAAGGTGGGAAAATTGCTTGAGCCTAGGGGTTAGAGACCAGTCTGGGCAACATAGTGAGATACTGTCTCTACAAAATAAAAATCAAAATTATTCAGGCCTGGTGGCATGCACCACCCAGCTACTCAGGAGGCTGAGGCAGGAGAATCACTTGAGCCCGGGAGGTTGAGGCCGCAGTGAACTGTGATTACACCACTGTACTTTAGCCTAGGCAACAGATCCGGACCCTCTCTCAAAACAAAACAAAACAAAACAAAACAAAACAAAACATATATATATATATATATATAATGTTAGGACCTCATATTTATCAAGTCATCACAAAGATAATAAAAAGACAAGTTCAGATTGGCAAAAGGTGTTTGCAGAAAAAATAACTAGAAAATCAAGTATCCAAGATATATAAAAAATATCTATGAATTAATAAGAAATTGACCATCCATTTTTTAAAACAGGTAAATGAGTTTAATAGCAACTTACATGAATGAATTCTAAATAGTCTATATATATATATGTGAAAACGTGGCCAAACACATTAATACTCAGGAAAATAAAAACTAAAACTATATTAAAATGCCATGACACACTCAATACCATTGCACATCACACTTAATAGGCAAAGGGTAAAATGTCTGGCACTATCAAATATTGTTGAGGATGTCAAGAGAAGGAGCCCACTAAACATGGTTGATGGAATGAAAGAGGTTTGGCATTATCTAGTAAATTAAAGATACCTGACCTATAACCCAGGAATTTTATTCCCAGGAATATACCCTACAGAAATGCTTACATATGTGTACCAGGATACTCGAATAAACATGTAAGTAAAAACATTATTCATAATAGCTCTAAATTGGAAACAGCCCGAATGTCTATTTAGAGTAGAGTGGATAAGTAAATTGCAATGTATTCATGCAACAGAATACCATACAGCCATGAAAATGAACTACAGCTGCACCCAACATTATGGATAAATCTTATAAACATAACATTGAGTAAAAGAAGATTTTGAATAGAGAGATATAGATATAGAAATGAATACACACAGAGTGATTATATTCTATAAAACTGAAAAACAGGAAAAATTATATTGTTTAGTCATACATATGAAGAGGATAAAACTATAAAGAAAGGATTTACAAAAGATAAAAATGTTTATACCTAGAGAGGAAGGAGATGATAACATTGGAAGATGCATGAAGGCTTCTGGAGTGGTTGTAATATTCTATTTCTCGAGAAGGGAGGTGTTTACTCTTGCATTGCTTTTTAACTATTTGTTAAACTATACACAGGTATTTTCTGTAATCGTTCTGCATTTATATTTCACAGCTTTAAAAAATCAGTGACAGTTGTCATAAAAATCTGTGACAATAAAATGAATGGAAGATAAAGAAATGAAAGCAATAACTGTAAACAACTTTTTAAGAAGTTTATCTTTAAAGAGATGGTTAAAGATAGCATAGCTGGTGCAGAAGGTGGCATCAGAGGTGCTACTTTTTTAAGAGAGAAATAGTTGATCATATTTAAGGATTTATTAGAAGATGTCCATATTAAAAGAGACATTAAAGATATAGGAGATCAAAAAGACAAATGATAACGTGATCCTTGAGAAAGCATGAAGTTATAGAAGCAGAACCTAAATGTAACAGAAGAGAAGAAGGAAAGAATGGATGCCGTGAAAGTAATTTTGTAAGTTCAGGCCAGCTATCTGATGGCTCCATTTCATCTGGTATGAAGTGAGATGTGTTCCAAAAACTAGCCCTCTTGGCAATAAGAGGCTGACAGCACATTTCCTCTCTCCTGCTCCAGCTTGCTGGGTTGAAGCCTCTTGCTGCAAGCCCAGTGGCAGCTATGCAGATGATACCCAGTGCAGATGCCATCAAGGCCACCAATGCCAGCATTAAGGGCACTGCAGCACTGCCAAGAGTTCCGCAGCTATCTCCTGTAGTTGCCAAAGCTGCATGCACCAAAGCTGCAGGAGACTGCTAACTCAAAGCCCACACAGATTTTAATAGCCGCTAGTTGTTTTATTAAGCTCATCATATTCAACCCATGAGAACAGCCAGAGGGTGTCCAGAGTTCCCTCTGACCATATCCTGTATATCCCTCAGTTATTTCTTTGGGTTGTATCTAGTGCAGGAATCTCCAAATGCAGTGTTTCTCAAAATGTATGTATGTAAACCAGTAAACATGAGGGGAATTGAGATTCTACATCATTAACAGGTTCTCAGATACCCTTAATACTCCTGGTTCCCAAACCACACCCTGAGCAGAAAAGCCCTAGGTACTTCATGTAAAAAGGCCTGCAAGGCTTATCATATCTACCCACATAACAATCAAAACATGTCTGAATTAGAGGTAAATATAGCTTGGGTTCAAGCAGGGACAGCTGTAAGACTACCAACCAAGTGGATGATTAGCACATCTGTCAATCAAAGCTAACTGAGCACTTTCTATGTATCCCACTATGTGGGATGCAGACAATCAGTGGGTATTGTCTCTGCCTTTGTTGAATTTATCTTTGACTCAGTGAGAGGCAGCAAGATAACTGAAAAGTACCAAGAACACTAGGGGTACTCAAACTAAAAATAGAGTATCCTAAGCACAGTCCTGTGAAACTACACATGAGTTCTTTATATCTTTCACTTGATGACATGTTATCAAATTCTTTGGGGTAACTTGAAAAAACTCCATGGAACAAGAAATTATAGCTATTCTTCACATATTGGTTTCTCCCACGGATAGTTAACTAAAGGAAAAGTTGTCCTGTTAGTAAGTCATAGTGATGTATCTATGGAGTTTATATCCTTCATTTGATGATGCTTTACCCCAAATGCATTCGAAAACTACTTTTACTTACTCAAAAATACACTCTCTCTCTAGAGTAAAAAAAGAAGGAACTTCCAAGTTAAGAAGATGAACAGCTGGTGATATTCGGTTTTGTTCTACCTCACTTCGACAAATCAAAAAGTGTTCACAAAAAAATTAGAAAATCTAATGAAAATAGACTTCCTGAAAAGTTTTAAATTTCAGATCCAGGAAAGGATTCTACAGGTAGCCAAGGATCAACAGATAAACCATAAAGGGACCAAATTCTGGCCAAATTCATCAGACTACCCTTTCACAACATGGAAGAAGAAACAACAAAAAAAGGACAATGTAGAATTTTAGATCAAAAGCAGTTAACTAGAGATTTCTATATTCATTCAAATCATCACTTGTGTGGGAAGTCCACAGATTGTTATTTTCAGATATTAAGGGCTTAAAAAGTCTAATTCCCAAATATTCTTTCTGAGAAAATTACTGAAAGATGTAGACCAGCCGGTAAAAAGGTTATTTGAAATTAAACACTCAAGAATAAGGAAGTTGTGTTTTTTATTGTGGTTTTAAAAGGATGGGCTACGGTCACTAATATGAGTTATAAGATGTATGTGTAACAGAATAATAATAACAATAATAATGTAAATCTAGAATTCTAAATTATTTAAACGAAAACTAAGAATGAGGCGAATGAAGGAAAAAAGTTTAAAAATGCAAATAAGTTTATTTATTCAACAAGTACTTTCTGAGCAACTACTAAGTGCCAGATATTTTGTTGGGTGCTCCTTATACAAAAGGTGGTTCATTTTTAAAATTGAAAACATAAAACAATATAAATGAAAATGGTTTAACATAGTTTCTTTTGTTTATAAATTCATTCTGCATGTTAAATGTTTTCCTTTGTTTTTAATCCCAAATAATACTTACATTTTTTTAAATCAAGAAGTATTTAAAAAAATAAGGAATTTTTTTAAAGCAATGTCTTATCACCCTATTGTCACTCTCTGATCTCAATATCAAGGAGAAGGAGCAATTATTTTTCATCATTTATGTTGTTTTCCTTGTTTTCAACTTATGTATTTTGAATTATAATGCTTACACTTTTACTGCTTGCTTTTTTTCAAATATTTGGTATTGTTTGTTAACTTCACTCTGAGAAAGTGAGGAATTTAAACTAACTCACTAGAATTCCTAATGTGCTGTCCCCCTCTGTCCTTCAGGCTTCAAATCTTCCTCAACATCTTCCCTCTTTGTGACCTGTGCTCACAGGTGAGGAAGTAGGTGAACTGGCATCAGCACATACCTGTGGGTTAGCAGGGACTGCTGGACAGTGAGAAGGTGGGGAGCTGGTCATTCCTCTGGTCACTGGAGAAGGATTTCCTAGGGAAATGGAAGTTTTGCCTTCACTCTGAACACCAGTTGTGAATGAAGGATGCCAATTTTAAAATCCTATAGATTGGCCATCAAACCCACTGTTGTCAACACACCTCACTTCTCTTTACCTCCCAAGTCTCAAAACATGGTGCTTTCTTGGAATTCTGCCAGGCAGAAAGATGCTTACCTTGGAAGCAAACTTCTTCGTGTAGTTGGTCTGTCTCTTTCTCTACTTTGTCATCATTTATTTCCCTTGTTTTCCATCTTCTGGCTATTTATTCAGTTCTCTCATAAGTGGATGGACCTCTTTGCTGCTTTCTTTGCTCTTCTGGCTCTATGCCTGTTTTGTTTTTTACTATAATTTTAATGGAGGTGGCAGAAAGGAGGGAAGCTTAAGTATATTTTTAAATTAAAAAATGTTAAAGCATAGTATTTATTAAGATGATATTTCCCAAATGTGTAAAGGAAAACAAAACACAGAAAGATAGTCCATATAGAAAAACAAAGACAACAACAACAAAAAAAAACTGCTTTCCTTACCACCTTGCAGGTGTACATATATAGAAAGGATGGACTTAGACTGGTGTAACCTGATTTTGTTCAGTAATTAAATTACATAATTCAAATCATTTGTTCTGACTCCAGGCTCACAAAGCCATCTTCTGCTCCTGTGTTTCTTCCCCTGAATGGGAACCAACAGGGAGGCAATGTTCTGGTTACAATGCATGAGGGGCCTATTTCCTCTACATTTATTTATCTTTGTAAATCAATCTACTGACATTCTGATTTTATCCATCACATTTCTGAGAATGTTTTATTTAAATTTCTTCCTGAGTGACAGACCCATTCTTGGCATATTAACAAAACCAAGTGCCTATCATTTCAAGGCTGAGGGCTAGACTGTGGGAGAGGTCCTGAGAGTAACCTGCAGGCCTCTGCATGAAGTCATCTGCCACCTCTGCTCACCCAAACCTCTCCTTTTGCCTGTAGAGTTAAAACATTGCTGAAAGATGAAGGAAGACTTGAGTAAACAGAGATTGATGTCATCATCTTGGAAATGAAGACTGAGTATTATCACAATGTCAATTAATTCCTCCAAACAATTTATATGATTGGTGCAACTATATTAAATAAGCCCCAGGGGATTTGGTTTGTTTTCTTGCTTTGCTTTAATTTTTGTTTCATTTTGTTTTGTTTTATAAGGGGGAGACAAAGAATTAATAAAGTATTTTTTAAAGTTCATCTGAAAGAATTAACATCCAAGAAAGGCTAATACAATTTTAAAACAATTTTTAGTACCATCTATTAGTATAATAAAAAATACTAAAATGTTACAATTGGAGTTGTTCTACTATAAACATAGATGGACAGAAAGAATAAAAATTAAGAAACAGCAACTAATATATGTCTAAATTAAATAAGTTTAAACTGACATTTCAATAAACATGAAAGGGAAATATTATTAACAGCAATTTCTTACTAATAGGAAAAATTAAACTAGATCTTATCTCACACACTACATCAAGAATGAACTCCAGAAAGATATGGATTTCAATATAAACAACACAACCACTTACATATAGAAGAAAGGCAGATGATATTTATCAGATCTAAGCAGTTTCTAATCATAGTAGAAATGGATGAAGTAACAAAGGTAATTTCACTAAAAAATTTTTAAAACTTTTGAATGTCAAAATCTTATAACAACCTTAGAAGCCAAGTAATAAACAGTACATTTGTAACAAATATGACATAAGTTTAATGTCCTCAATACATACAGATTTCTTTAAAATGAGTAAGATAAAAAATTAAAACTCTAATAGAATCATGATGTGAATCATAAGTCACAAAAGTAGAAATGCAAATGGCCAAATGTTTTATCTCAATAATGATTTCTAAGGCAAATTAAAAAGAAAGGTATCATCTTTTACCTATATTAGCATACAATTTTAAAGCAAAGATTGAAAAAAATACTACTCATTGTTAGTGATGGTATAGTAAACGGGTGCCTTGAAATCTTCACGAGTTTGCAAACTGGCACAACTTTTTGCTAATAAATGTTGTAATGCTGCACTAAAGGTTTAAAAAGTTTCTATGTTCCAAGATATTGATATCCTTAAAAAAAATCTATCCTTGACAAATAATCAAAAACTTTAACAGAGATTAAATGTATTAAATTGTTATTTATATTAAGAAAATGGTTGAACAAAAAGATGGTATATTCCCTATAATACAATTATTTTTTAAAAGTTTATAGACCTAAGAAAATGCTCACAATACAATATTAAGTGTGTATGTCTGTGCGGTGTATGTATTCACACACCAATTTAGCAGAAATTAGACTACAAAATATGCATGTGTACACACATATATACACAGAGATTTAAAAATAGAAAGGAATTTCATTAATGTTAACATTGGTTTTCTGTTGGTAAAATTATTTGACTTTTTTCACATTTTCTCTTTGTACCTTTGTGTGTTTTCTATATCCTTCACAATGAACATATACAGTATCTATAATTTAAATAGAAATAATATTATTTTTAAATTGCAGATACTGAATTAGAATAGATACACACAAAAATAAATGCTGCTTATATGATTTTTGCATAAGTAATGCCCTGCATAATTGTATCTGTTCTACTGAAAAAAACTCTTCAGTAAAGACAAGCCATTAAAAAAAAACACTATTACTCAACCTGTACATTTTGTCCTTTATCTCATACGTTTCTAATAATTTTATAACTTTAATCAGTTTACTCAATTAATTTTAAATTACAATACTGGAGCAGAAAAGGATCTCTTCTCATTAGCAGCAGCAAAGGTGATATTCATATAAGATTTAAAAAAAGGCAGAAAAGCATTTCTAAATTTTTAGAAAAGCTGGCAAGAGAAACCATGAAAACAGGAGAATGGGGAAAACTTGGTGGTAATTTTTTTAAAAATGAGTAGTCAAATCTATGTCAGTTTTCCCCAACTGCCATTAACCAAATAAATCTAGTGATTTTAAAAATGTGACGCTGCAAATCAAGCCCCATTCTAATAATTTGGTCTGGTGCTTTGTTGTTAATCTTCCAGCTTCCAGACAAACACCTTTCTGGATCCCATCCTGAATTTTACACTACAGTTCATAAATATAAAGGCTGTGGGGTCCTTAGTGGTCTGACAAGAAAAGCTTCCGATAGAAATGAGGGGAAAAAAGGAAATACAGTAAAAAGAAATACAAGTTAATATTTCATTAAATGATTCTGCCACATTTTTGTTTAGCTCCTATTTGATAAACACTTCATGTATATTGCCATAGAGTACATACACTTCCAGAAAGATAAAATACATATATTTTTCCTTAGTCTTCTCACTAAGTGCAACAAAAATCTCTGGATATTTTATATAAAACAAGCATAAGAAGACACTGAAGGATGGAGAAAATAAGACAGACCACCTAAGGACCTCAAAATCCAAGGAACATTACAGTGGAAAGTCTCCTGGGTTTTCCTTTCTTTTCTTTTTTTTTAATAACTGAAATTTGGAGATGAAAATGTCAGTAACCCAGAAATATTAACACTCATAGACAAAACAACCAAAAGCTCCAAGATTCAAAATCCTCTAGCCAAATAAGAAGGAAAAGAGTAGCTTAGCCAGATAGTAAAATTTTAGACAATAACCACTCTATTCCAGCCAAACACTACAAAAAAAGTTGTGGTCTCACCTCCACATCCACCAGCAAAGGCCAAATGGGGAGTCTAGGCTTCCACACACAGAAGGATATAACAAAGGTATGTCAAGGAAGGCAAGGCAGGAGCAAGGACGTTTACCCTATCAGCCAGAATAAAAGCCACCCCTGCCATGGTGTTCATGCAGACCTTTTGGAGAGTCTGAACTTGTCCCTCCACCTGGCAGTAATGAGGCAGTGTCCCTTCCTCTAACAGAGTGTAGTAAAATAAAGCCAGCTAAAACCAAAAGCTCAAATAAAATCCAGAACCTTATAACAAAATATGAAAATGTATTGTTTGATGATTGAAAAGTTTCCATCAAAAACTACTCATCACAGCAAGAACCAGGAATATCTGAAATTAAACGACAAAAAAAAATTCATACGTGATAACATCAAGATGCCAGAGATGCCAGAATATCTAACGATGCAGGAATGAAACAGGAGATATCACGGCAGACCCTGCAGACATCAAAAGGGAAATACTGTGATCAACTCTAGACAAATAAATTTGACAGCTAGACAAAATGGATCAATTCCTTGAAAAACAAAAACTATCGCAACTCACCAATATGAAATAGACCATTTGAATAGGCCTATAGCCTACGGCCATACCACCCGGAATGTGCCCGATCTCGTCTGAACAGCCCTATAATTTCTATGGAAATTAAATTGTAATGTAAAATACCCAAGGAGAGAGGATGGAGCAAGATGACAAAACAGAAGCCTACACCATTGTTCTCCCCTGCTAAAACACCAAATTTTAACAACTACCTCCACACAGAAAAGCAACATCACAAGAACCAAAATCAGGTGAGCAATCACAGTACCTGGTTTTAACTTCATATTGTCAAAAGAGGCATTGAGGAGGGCAAGATAGACAGTCTTGAATTGCCAATGCCCTTTCTCCCACCTCTGGACAATGACTGTGCAGTGCAGAAAGACAATCTGTGCCCTTTGGGGAAGGAGAGCTCAGCGACTGGGGGACTTTACATTGAACTCAGTAATGTCCTGTCACAGTAGAGAATAAAGCCACACTGGGATCAGCCAGTGCCTGTGCATGGAAGAAGTTGGACCAGCCCTAGCCAGAGGGGAATTGCCCCATTCCAGCAGTCAGAATTTGAGTTTCTCAGCAAACCTTGCCAGCATGGGCTGAAGTACTTTGGGGTCCTAGGTAAACTTGAAAAGCAGTCTAAGACACAAGGACTGCAATTCCTAGGAAACTCCTAGTGAAAGGCTGGGCTTAGAGCCAGTGAACTGAGGTCACACATGACCTAGCAAAACACCAGCTGGAGAGGCTATAAGAGTGCTTTTGCACATCTCCTGAAATAATACATAATCTTCAAATAAAGACAATAATGTCATAATTATACCTAAGATAATACAGCTATCCTTCATACAACTGGAAATGCACTAATCCTTAACCTAAATGCTATTACATAAAGTTAACAACACTTAAATGCTTATATAAAGTCAATCAATCTATGTCACATAATAAAAGAAAAAGAAAGGAAATAAAATGAAGATATTTTCTTAGTACAAGTGTATACGTGCACAAATATGTTCTTAACAAAATGAGAGGGAAATACTCATGACAATTACAGTTCTTGTTTCTGCAACTGGTCACGTGGTCACAGCTGGTATTGATGATTACCTTCTTCTACCACCCATTCTGCATTCCCTTTACCTTCAGCAGGCACCTCAGTGGGTCATGGTTTTTTACTTGGTGGAGTGACCCAAACCTTCATTCCTGAAGGGTCTGAGCCACTTGTAGTCCTGCCTGGATTGTGTTGTTATAGTTTCCCATTGACCTTAATCACAGGGCATGGTACTACTAAGAGACACCCTAAGGGATCTCCTGTATTCCACAAATACTACTGCTTATTTCCATTGTGAAGTAGTAGCTTGATTTCATCTTGATAGTCTGGGTCAATCACTCAAGCCAACACTGTAATTCCCTTCTTAGCCTGTTGACTTAGAGGTAGAAGAAGCCCAAAGTGGCCAGGTGGCAATCTTAACTTTGAGTTTAATGGAATCATTGTTATGTCTCTGGGTGGCAGCATTCTTCCTTCTGGAACTAAGACCTCTAGGCCAGCAGAATGTAATGTCGCGGGAAAAGGCAGCAAAAATGTTGCTAGTGGGTCACTAGGGGTGACGGTGAATGGTGCCACTTCCACTTCCACCCTTTGATTTCTGGACCTGTGAATTCAGGCTGTGGGAAAAAATGGTACCATATATTGGATGCTGAATCAGGGAATACACAGCCTTCTGGAGAACTTTGCCCCAGCCCTGCAAAATATTGTAACCTAGTTGGCATTGTAATTGTGACTTCAAAAGGCCATTCCACCGTTCTATCAATCTAGCTGCTTCAGGATGATAGGGAACATGGGAAGACCAGTGAATTCCACGAATATGAACTCACTGCCATGCTTCTTTAGCTGCAAAGTGAGTGCCTTGGTCAGAAGCAATGCTGTGTGGAATACCATGATGGTGGATAAGGCATTCCATGAGTCCACAGATGGTAGTCTTGGCAGAAGCATTGAGTGCAATATAGGCAAACCGATATGCAGAGTAAGTGTCTATTCTGGTGAGGACAAACTGCTGCCCTTTACATGATGAAAGAGGTCCAATAAAATTAACCTGCCACCAAGTAGCTGGCTGATCAGCCTAAAGAATTGTGTCATATTGAGGGCTCAGTGTTGGTCTCTGCTACTTGCAAATTGGCCACTCAGTGGTGGCCTTAGCCAGGTCAGGCTTGGTAAGTGAAAGTCCATGTTGCTGAGCCCATGCATAACCTCCATAACCCCTGCTGCCAAGACCACTTTGTTCAGGGGCCCACTGCAATGACAGGGGTGGTTGGCAAAAGGGACTGAGTGGTGTCCATAGAACAAGTCATCTTATCCACTTAATCATTAAAATTCTCCTCTGCTGAGGTCACCCTTTGGTGAGTATTCACATGATATACAAATATCTTCAGAGTTTGTGATCACTGAAAGTGGTCCATCCATATACCTCTTCCCCAAATTTCTTTGTCACAAATTTTCCAATCATTCTTCTTCCAAGTCCCTGGCCATCCATCCAAACCAGTGGCTACAGCCCATGAATCAGTATTTAATCACATCTCTGGCCATTTCTCCTTCCATGCAAAGTGCACAACCAGGTGGACTGCTCAAAGTTCTTCCCACCGGGAAGATTTCTCTTCACCACTGTCCTTCAGAGATGTCCTAGAAAGGGGCTATAGTGCTGCAGCTGTCCACTTTTGGGTGGTGCTTGCATATCATGCAGAACCATCTGTAAACCAGACCCTAGTCTTCTTTTCCTCTGTCAACTGATCATAGGAAACTTCCCATGATGCCATTGGTGCAGGCTGGGGGAAAGAAGGCAGGGTGGCAGGAGTGGGGACCATGGGCATTTCAGCCACTTCCTCATGTAATTTACTTGTGACTTCAGAGCCTGCTCAAGCCTGACCATGTATATACCACTTCCATTTGATAGTAGAATGCTGCTATGCATACCCAACTTCATGGCTAGATGGGTGAGAAAGCACCCAGTTCATGATAGGCAGTTCAGATCGCATGGTGACTTGACCCATAGTCAAACATTCAGTTTTAACCAAAGCCCAGTAACAGGCCAAGAGCTGTCTCTCAAAAAGAGAGTAGTTATCTGGACAAGATGGGAGGGCCTTGCTCCAAAATTCTAGAGACCTCCACTGTGATTCACCTATATGGACCTGCCAAAGGCTCCAAACAGCATCCCTGTCTGCCACTGACACTTCAAGCACGATTGGATCTGCTGGGTCACATGGCCCAAGTGAAAGAGCAGCTTGCACATCAGCCTGGACCTATTGCAGACCCTTCTCTTGTTCTTGAACCCACTCAAAGCTGGAAGCCTTTCAGGTCACTGGATAAATGGTGGGAATAACACATCCAAATAAGGAATATGTTGCCTCTAAAATCCAAATAGGCCCACTAGGCATTGTGTCTCCTTCTTGGTTGCATAAGGGGCCAAATGCAGCAACTTATCCTCCATCTTAGAACAAATATCTTGACAGGCCTCACACCAATGGATCCCTAGAAATTTCAATGAGGTAGAAGATCCCTGAATTTTAGTCGGGTTTAATTTTCTATCCTTTAGCATGCAAATATCTCACCAGTAAGTCCAGTGTATTTACTAATTCTTGCTCACTGGGTCCAATCAGGTTAATATCCATGCAATGAACCAGTGTGATATCTTGTGGAAGGGAAAAGTGATCAAGATCTCTGCAAACAAGATTATGACACAAAGCTGGAGAGTTGATATACCCCTGAGGTAGCACAGTGAAGGTACATTGCTGGCCTTGCAAGCTGAAGGCAAATTAATTCTGGTGGGCCTTATGGACAGGAATGGAGAAAAAGGCATTTTCCAAGTCAGTGGCTGCATACCAGTTACCAGGAGATATGTTAATTTGCTCAAGCAATGAAACCACATCTGGTACAGCAGCTGTAATTAGAGTCACCACTTGGTTAAGCTTACAATAATCCACTGTCATTCTCAAAGATCTGTCTGTCTTCTTCACAAGCCAAGTAGGAGAGTTTATTGGGGATGTGGTGAGAATCACCACCCCTGCATCTTTTAAGTAATGATGGTACTGCAATCCCTCAAGAGATGCAATATTGGTTTTGATTTACTATTTTTCTGGGTAGAGGCAGCTCTAATGGCTTCCATTTGGCCTTTTGCACCATAACAGCCCTCACCCTACTAGTGAGAGAGCCAGTGTGGGGATTCTGCCAGCTGCTAAGTATGTCTATGCCAATTATGCATTCCGCCACTAGGGAAATGACTACAGGATGAATCCAGGGACCCACTGGACCCACTATAAATTAGACCTGAGCTAAAACTCCACTAATTACCTGACCTCCATAAGCCCCTACTTTAACTGGAGGACCACAATGACGTTTAGGGTCCCCTGGAATCAACATCAGCTCAGAGCCAGTGTCCTGTAGTCCCCCGAGGTTCTGACCATTTCCCTTTCCCCAGTGCAGTTACCCTGGTAAAAGCCTGAGTGTCTTATTGAGGAAAGATGAGAGAAAAATTAACAGTATAATTGTCAGTAGTGTAGTGGGATTTTTTTCTCAAGGGGAGCCAGCCTCCTCTTCATTCAAGGGGCTCTGGGTCTATAAACTGGTTCAAGTCTGGAAATTTATTGAGGGGCCATGATTCTCTTTTTATATAATTCAAATTAGTCTTTTGTCCACTCTACTTGGAAGTTTTCTGCTTATTCAAATTAAGTAAGAATGCAGTAGGCTTCCTATCAATTTCACTTCTAGGAACACTGTGATTAGCCAATGCCAGAGCGCTACAAAAGTCAGACTATGTGTTTGCTGCTTTGTCTCTGCTGTCCATTATGGCAGCTACACCCACTTACAGTGGGCCATCTTTTGATCCGTATTTCAGCTAACCAAGCAAATAAACTATTAGAACCCTTTTTAACTCCCTGAGCTGCAACATTAAATGCAGAATCCCTGCTTAGTGGGCCCAAATCAATAAATTAAGCCTGGTTCAACTTTATGTTCTTTCCACCACTAGCCCACAGCCATAATATCTATTTCCATGCCTGTTCTCCAGATTTCTGCTTATATAAATTTAAAAACACAAGCAGTTCTTCTGGAATGTATTACACCTTGTCATGGGTCACACTCTGAACCTCATCTCTAGGGGCCTGCTGGGACTGGAGTCTAGTTTTAGGTCTAGAAGCAAACAGGGGTATTGCGGGTGGGTCCTGAAGAGAATCAGCATTGTCTTGCCTGGCAACTGCCTCAAGGGAGGCCATCACTGTTGCCCCGGGCAGTGGATGGTTAATCTCCTCACACAAAGGTGGAAAGGCTGATGGCAGCATGGGTGGGGAAGGTGATGTTGCCACTACTGGGGATGGAGAGGCTGTTTTCTCTGGCAACAAAAGGGCTCATCAGAACTTAGGAGCTCAGTGCCTCCACCCTCAGCAGCGTCCTCCCACAAGTCCCCATTCTAAGTTTCAGGTCCCATTGTTTTGCAATCAATCCTCACTTTAACAGTAGACACCTGGTGTGTTTGTGCATGCACCTTTCTCACATGATAAGAGCTTGTGTCCGATTTTCCACAATTTCAGCCCTTTGTCTACAGGAGATAAGACTCTCACTCAGGGCAATCTTAGAAGATTTGAGGCTCAGTATGTGGTTCTGAAGCTGGGAGTTAGAATCTCTGAGCTCATCATTTTCTTTCATCGCTTTGTCCAGCAAACTTAGGAGCAACCAACCAACTTCATTATATTCCTTGGTTATCCATATATGGTTAAAGGTATTATGTATAGAGTCACTAAACTCCTTGCCTGTGAATTGGGAGTATCAAATGCATCTATTTTACATAACTCTAAACAGTTCATGCCAAATAGTATCAGTTGTCCTCCATACTATTAGAAGTAGAGTCCCAGATTAAGCAGCCAACTCCAGAAACCCCAAAACCAACTAAAGGAATCCATCCTTAAAATTCTGTTCCTCTAGAACAGAATTTTGATACCCTGGTATCAAAATCTGTATTACTCAGTGTTCTCTAGAGGGACAGAACTAATAGGACAGATGTATATATGAAGGGGAGTTTATTAAGGAATACTGACTCACACATTCACAAGGTGAAGTCCCACGATAGGTCATCTGCAAGCTGAGGAGCAAGGAAACCAGTTCGGGTCCCAAAAACCTCAAAAGTAGCGAAGACAACAGTACAGCCTTCAGTCTATGGTCAAAGGCCTGAGAGCCCCTGGCAAACCACTGATACAAGTCCAAAAGTCCAAAAGCTGAAGAACTTCAAGTCCAATGTTCAAGGGCAGGAAGCATCCAGCACAGGAGAAATATGAAGGCTGGAAGACTCAGAAAGTCTGCTTATTTCACTTTCTTCTGCATGCTTTTTCTAGCTGTAGTGGCAGCCAAAGAGAGAGTGCCCACCTAGATTAAGGATGGGTGGTGGGTCTGCCTCTCCCAGTCTGTTGACTCAAATGTTAACCTCCTTTGGCAACACCCTCACAGACATACCCAGGAACAACGTTTTGCACCCTTCAATCCAATCCATTTGGCACTCAGTATTAACCATCACACCATTCAAATACTTGGAAAGCCTTGCCAAGAAGGACAGGCATACACAAGCCCAAACTGTGAAGACTACAATAAATACCTAATTCTTTAATGCCCAGATACTAACAAATATCTGTAAACATCAACACCATCCAGGAAAACATGATCTCACCAAATGGACTAAATAAGTCACCAGGGACAAATCCTGGAGAAACAGAGATATATGACCTTTCAGGTAGATAATTCAAAATAACTATTTTGAGGAAACTCAAAGAAATTAAAGATAACACAGAGAAAGAATTCAGAATTGTATCAGTTAAATTCAACAAAAAGACTGAAGTAATTAAAAAGAATTAAGCAGAAATTCTAGAGCTGAAAAATGCAATTGACATGATGAAAAATGTATCAGAGTCTCTTAATAGCAGAATTGATTGAGAGGAAGAAAGAATTAGTGAGTTTCAAGACAGATTATTTGAAAATACACAGAGAAGACAAAAAAAAAATAAAGCACACTTACAGAATCTAGAAAATAACCTCAAAAAGACAAATCTAAGAGTTAATAGCCTTAACAAGAATATAGAGAAAGAGATAGGGTAGAAAGTGTATTCGAAAGAATAATATCAGAGAACTTTCAACACTTAGAGAAAGATATTAATATTCAAGTACAAGAAGGTTATAGAACACCAAGCAGATTTAATGGAAAGAAGATTACCTTAAGACATTCAGTAATCAAACTCCTAAAGGTCAAGGATAAAGAAAGGATCCTAAAAGCAGCAATAGAAAAATAAATAAATAACATACAATGGAGCTCCAATGCATCTGGAATCAGACTTTTCAGTGGAAACCTTACAGGCTAGGAGAGAGCAGCATGGCATATTTAAAGTGCTAAAGGGAAAATACTTTAACCCAGAATAGTATATTTGGCTAAAATGTCCTTAAGCATAGTGATATAAAGATCTTCCCAGACAAACAAAAGCTGAGGGATTTCATCAATACCAGACCTGTCATACAAGAAATGCTAAAGGGAGTTCTTCAATCTGAAAGCAAAGTATGTTAATGAGCAAGAAGAAATCATCTGAGGGTCCAAACCTTACTGGTAACAGCAAGCACACAGAAAAACAGAATAGTATAACATTTTAATTGTGATGTGTAAACTACTCTTAAGTAAAAAGAGTAAATGATGAACCAATCAGAAATAATAACTGCAGCAACTTTTCAAGACATAGACCATATAAAAAGACATATAGAGAAACAACAAAAAGTTAAAAAGTGGGGGAGATTAAGTCACACTGTAGAATTTTTACTAGTTTTCTTTTTGTGTGTTTGTTTATGCAATTAATGTTAAGATGTCATCAATTTAAAATAATGTGTTATAAGATAGTATTTGCAAGCCTCATGATAATCTCCAGTTGAAAAAAATGCAATGTATACACAAATAATAAAAAGCAAGAAATTAAATTATATCACCAGAGAAAATCACCTTCACTAAAAGACAGAAAGGAATTAAAAAAAGAGAAGATCACCACAAAACAACCAGAAAACAAGTAACAAAATGGCAAAAGTAAGTCCTTACTTATCAATAATAACATTGAATGTAAACAGACTAAACTCTCCAATCAAAAGACATAGACTGGCTAAACAAATGAGAAAACAAAACCCAATGATCTGTTGCCTATGAGAAACACACTTCACCTATAAAGATACACATAAACTGAAAATAAAGGGAACGAAAAAGATATTTCATACCAGTGGAAACCATAGCTATGCTTATATCAGACAAAATAGATTTCAAGACAAAAACTATAAAAAGAGACAAAGAAGATCATTATGTAATGACCAAGGGGTCAATTCAGCAAGAGGATATAATGATTATAAATATACATACACCCAACACTGGAGCACCCGGGTATATAAAGCAAATATTATTACAGCTAAAAAGAGAAATACACTCCAATACAATAATAGCTGGAGATTCAACATGCCACTTTCAGCATTGGATAGATCTCCCAGACAGAAAATCAACAAAGAAACATTGGACTTAATTAGCACTATAGAGCAAATGGACCTAATAGATATTTACAGAACATTTCATTGAATGACTGCAGAATTCACATTTTTCTTCTAAGCACACGGATATTTCTCAAGGATAGACTATATGCTAGGTCACAAAGCAAGTCTTAAAACATTCAAAAAATTGAAATAATATCAAGCATCTTCTCTGACCACAATGGAATAAAACTAGAAATCAATAACAAGAAGAATTTTGGAAACTATCCAAATACATGGAAATTAAACAGTGTGCTCCTGAATGATCAGTGGGTCAATAAAGAAATTAAGAAAGAAATTGAAACAATTTTTTGAAACAAATGATAATATAAACACAACAACCCAAAACCTATGAGATATAGCAAAAGCAGTACTAAGGGGAAAATTTATAAGTGCCTGCATCAGAAAAGAAAAGAAAAGAAAAGGCCGGGCACAGTGGCTCATGCCTGTAATCCCAGCACTTTGGGAGGCCGAGGCGGGTGGATCACGAGGTCAGGAGATCAAGACTATCCTGGCTAACATGGTGAAACCCCGTCTCTACTGAAAATACAAAAAAAATTAGCCGGGAGTGGTTGCGGGGGCCTGTAGTCCCAGCTACTCAGGAGGCTGAGGCAGGAGAATGGCTTGAACTCAGGAGGCAGTGAGCTGAGATCGCGCCACTACACTCCAGCCTGGGTGACAGAGCGAGACTCCGTCTCAAAAAAAAAAAAAAAAAGAAAAAAGAAAAAGAGAAAAAAAAGTAAATAAATAACCTAATAATGCATCTTAAAGAATTAGAAAAGCAAGAGTAAACTGAACCCAAAATTAGAAGAAAAGAAATAATAAAGATCAGAAAAGAAATAAATGAATTTGAAATAAAGAAAACAATATAAAAGATCAGTGACTCAAAAAGTTGTTTTTTTGAAAGATACACAGAATTGCCAAACCCTTAGACCAAGAAAAAATGAGAGAAGACCCAAATTTTAAAAGAAACCAGATATGAAAAAAGAGACATTACAACTGATACTGCAGAAATTCAAAGGCTCATTAGTGGCTACTATGAGCAACTATATGCCAACAAATTGGAAAAAAATAGAAGAAATGGATAAATTCCTAGACACATACAACCTACCAAGATTGAACCAGGAAGAAATCCAAAACCTGAACAGACCAATAACAAGCAATGAGATTGAAGCCATAATAAAGAGTCTCCTAGTAAAGAAAAGCCTGGGACCTAATGGCTTCACTACTGAATTCTACTAAGACTTAAAGAAGAACTAATACCAATTCTACTCAAACTTTTCCAAAAAACTGAGGTGGAAATATTTCCAAACTCATTGTATAGGGCCAGTATTTCCCTGATACCAAAACCAGACAAAGAAACACCAAAGAAAGAAAACTACAGGCCAATATCTCTGATTAATATTTATGCAAAAATCCTCAACAAAATAATAGCAAACCAAATTCAACAACACATTAAAAAGATTATTCATCACGACCAAGTGGGCCTTATCCCTGTGAAGCAAGGATGATTCAACATACACAACTCAATCAATATGATATATCATAAAAACAGAATCAAGAATAATAACCATATGATCATTTCAATTGATGTTGAAAAACATTTGATAAAGCTCAGCTTCCCTTCAGGATAAAAACTCTCAAAAAAAAACTGGGTATAGAAGGAACATAACATAATAAAAGCCATGTACAACAAACCCACAGTTAGTATGATACTGAAGGAGGAAAAACTGAAAGCCTCTCCTCAGATCTGGAACATGACAAAGATGCCCACTTTAACCACTGTTCTTCAACGTAATACTGGATGTCCTAGCTAGAGCAATTAGACAAGAGAAAGAAATGAAGGGCATCCGAATTGGAAAGGAAGAAGTCAAATTATACTTGTTTGCAAATAATATGATCTTATATTTGGAAAAAAACCTAAAGACTCCACCAAAAAACTATTAGAACTGATAAATTCAGTAAAGTTGCAGGATACAAAATCGACATACAAAAATCAGTAGTGCCAGGTAATCCCACGCCTGTAATCCCAACACTTGGGGAGGCTGAGGTGGGCAGATCACTTGAGGCCAGGAGTTCAAGACTAGCCTAGTCAACATAGTGAAACCCCATATCTACTAAAAATACAAAAATTAACTGGGTGTGGTGGCATATGTCTGTAATCCCAGCTACTCAGTAGGCTGAGGCACAAGAATCATATGAACCTAGGAGATGGAGGTTACAGTGAGCTTAGATCATGCCACTGCACTCTAGCCTGGGTGACAGAGTGAGACTCTGTCTCAAAAAAATAAAAAATGGTAAAAATTAGTAGCATTTCTATATGCCAACAATGAACAATCTGAAAAAGAAATTTTAAAAAGTAATCCCAGTACAATAGTCACAAATAAAATTAAATACCTAGGAATAAACCAAAGAAGTAAAACATCTCTACAGTGAAAACTATCAACAATGATGAAAGAAATTGAACAGGACACACAAAAAATAGAAAGATATTCCATGTTCATAAATTGGAAGAATCAATATTGTTAAAGTGTCCATACTACCCGAAGCAATGTGCAGATTCAATGCAATCCCTATCAAAATACCAATGACATTTCTCACTGAAATGGGGAAAAAAATCCTAAAACTTATATAGAACCACAAAAGACCCAAAGTAACCACAGCTATCCTAAGCAAAATGAACAAAACTGGGGGAATCATGGATAGTTTGTATATTTGTGGAATAATGGATAATTCGAAAATCTGTTAGTATAACGCTCCATTCCAACAGAAAAAAAAAAATCACGATTGGATCAATTGATACAGAAAAAGTATTTGACAAAATTCAACACCCACTGATTTTTTAAAAAGAAAAAAACAAATGGAAGAGAACTTTCTGAACATGATAAAGCGCATCTCTAAAAACGTACAAATAACGTTGTGCATAATGGTGAAAGAGTGAATTCCTTCTCCCTTAGGCTGGGAACAAGACAAAGATGTACACTTTTGCCAGTCTTATTCAAAGTAGTGCTGAATGTTCTGCCCAGAACAATAAGGCAAGGAAAGAAATAAAATGCATGCAAATTGGAAACAAAGAGGTAAAACTGCATTTTTGCAGATGACATAATTGCTTACCTAGAAAATCCTAAGAAATGTGCCCCAAAAGAACTCCTGAAATTAATAAATGAGTTCAGCAAAGTCACAAGATACAAGATCAACACACAAGGGTCAATTGCATTTCTATACAGTAATAATAAACACGTGCAAAACAAAATTTAAAAGACAATACAATTTATAATCATTGAAAAAGGAATAACTATATTTAGATGTAAATCTAACATGTGTAAGAATTGTAGGCTAAGAACTTCACAGTACTACTGACAGAAATCAAAGATCTAAATAAATGAAGAAACATGTTTATGGATTGAAAGCCTCAACAAACTAAAGATGTCAGTTCTCCACAAATTGATTTACAGGCTTAACACAATTCTTGTCAAAATCCCAATATTTTTATAGACATAAACAAGATTATTCCAAAATTTATATGAAATGGCAAAAAAACTAGATTAGCTTAAAAACAATTTTGAAAGCAAAAAAAATAGCATGGCAATAGTCTACTTGATTGCAAGTTACCATATATAGTTCTAGTAATCAATAGCATATGGTATTGATGAAGGAATAGACACACATATCGATAGAACAGAATAGAGAGCTCAGAAATAGATCCACACAAATATGCCCAACTGATTTTTGAAAATGGTCCAAAAGCAATTTAATGGAGGAAAGATAGATTTTTAAACAAACTGCTAAAATAATTAGAGATCCAAAACAAAACCAAACAACAACAACAAAGAAAACAAAGAGAGAGCCTCAACTTAAGCCTCAAATCTTGTATAAAAACTAATTCAAAAGGAATCATGAACTTAAATATAAAATGCAAAACTATAAAACTTGTTTTAAAACATGTAAGAAAAACTTCAGAATCTTTGGGATCTAGGGCTAGTTATTAGACTTGACACCAAAGGGACAATCCATAAAAGAAAGGCTTGATAAATTAGACTTCAGAAAAAGGAAAAAAGAAAAAAAAAAAACTTTTGCTCTGTGAAATATCCTGTCCAGAGGACGAAAAGAAAAACTAGAGTGGGAGAAAATGCTTCCAAACCACGTACCTGACAAACGAATCGAATATATAAAGTATTCTCAACACTTGACAAAAAAAAAAGAAAACAATTCTGTTAGAAAATGGGCTAAAGTTATAAAGAGGCATCTCAACACACAGGATATACAGATGGAAAATAAGCACATGATAACACGTTCAACATCATTAGCCATTTGCTGAGTGCAAATTAAAACCAAAATGAGATCTCACTCTATCACTATCAGAATGGCTAAAATAAAAAACAGTGAGAACACCAAATGCTAGTGAGGATGTGGAGAAAAGGGATCACTAATATATTGTTGGTGGAAATATAAAAGGGTATAGCAGTGGCAATAGAACAGCTCCAGTCCGCGGCTCCCAGCAAGATCAGTGCAGAAGGTGGTTGATTTCTGCATTTCCAGCTGAGGTGCCAGGCTCCTCTCAGTGGGACTGGTTAGACAGTGGGTGCAGCCCAAGGAAGGCAAGCCAAAGCAGGGTGGGGCATCACCTCACCCAGGAAGCACAAGGGGTCGGGAACTCCCTCCCCTCGCCAAGGGAAGCCATGAGGGACTGTGTCATGAAGAATACTGCATTTCCAGCCCAGATATCGCGCTTTTTCCACAGTCTTCACAACCCCCAGACCAGGAGATTCCCTTGCGTGCCTACACCACCAGGGCCCTGGGTTTCAGGCACAAAACTGGGAGGCCATTTGGGCAGATACTGAGCTAGCTGCAGGAGTTTTCTTTTTTATACCCCAGTGGCACCTGGAATGCCAGTGAGACAGAA
The DNA here is from genome assembly GCF_000001405.40 of Homo sapiens. NCBI lineage: Eukaryota > Metazoa > Chordata > Mammalia > Primates > Hominidae > Homo > Homo sapiens. The sequence continues at coordinate 114,304,312 of NC_000002.12, read as the reverse complement.
CCATTCACTCCCTGGAAAGGGGGCTGAAGCCAGGGAGCCAAGTCTAGCTCAGTGGATCCCACCCCCATAGAGCCCAGCAAGCTAAGATCTACTGCAATCCCTACCAAAATAGGGATTGCCAGCACAGCAGTCTGAAGTCAACCTGGGACGCTCGAGCTTGGTGGGGAAGCGGTGTCTGCCTTAACTGAGGCTTGAATAGGCAATTTTCGCCTCACAGTGTAAATAAAGCCACCGGGAAGTTCGAACTGGGTGGAGCCCACAACAGTTTGGCAAAGCCTCTGTAGCCAGACTGCCTCTCTAGATTCCTCCTCTTTAGGCAGGGCATCTCTGAAAGAAAGGCAGCAGCCCCAGTCAAGGGCTTATAGATAAAACTTCCATTTCCCTGGAACAGAGCACCTGGGGGATGGGCCAGCAGTGGGTGCAGCTTCAGCAGACTTAAACCTTCCTGCCTGCCAGCCCTGAAGACGGCAGCAGGTCTCCCTGCACAGCGCTCAAGCTCTGCTAAGGGACAGACTGCTCCTCAAGTAGGCCCCTGAACCACATGCCTCCTGACTGGGAGACACCTCCCAACAGGAGACAATAGACACCTCATACAGGAAAGCTTCAGCTGACATCTAGCAGGTGCCCTTCTGGGACAAAGCTTCCAGAGTAAGGAAAAGGCGGCAATCTTTGCTGTTCTGCAGCCTCCGCTGGTGATACCCAGGCAGACAGGGTCTGAAGTGGACCTCCAGCAAATTGCAGCAGACCTGCAGAAGAGGGGCCTGACTGTTAGAAGGAAAACTAACAAACAGAAAGGAATAGCACGTCCACACAAAAACCCCATCCAAAGGTCACCAGCATCAAAGACCAAAGGTAGATAAAACCACAAAGATAAGGAAAAACCAGCATAAAAAAGCTGAAAATTCCAAAAACTAGAACACCTCTTCTCCTCCAAAGGATCACAACTCCTCGTCAGCAAGGGAACAAAACTGGACAGAGAAGGAGTTTGACAAATTGACAGAAGTAGGTTTCAGAAGGTGGGTAATAACAAACAACTCTGAGTTAAAGGAGCATGTTCTAACCCAATGCAAGGAAGCTAACAACCTTGATAAAAGGTGAGAGGAATTACTGACTATAATAACCAGTTTAGAGAAGAACATAAATGACCTGATGGAGCTGAAAAACACAGCAGGAGGACTTCGTGAAGCATACACAAGTATCAATAGCCAAATCGATCAAGCAGAAGAAAGGATATCAGAGATTGAAGATCAACTTAACGAAATAAAACATGAAGACAAGATTAGAGAAAAAAGAATGAAAAGAAATGAACAAAGCCTCCAAAAATATGGTACTATGTGAAAAGACCAAACTGACATTTGACTGGTATAACTGAAAGTGACGGGGAGAATGGAAACAAATTGGAAAACACTCTTCAGGATATTATCCGGGAGAACTTCTCCAACCTAGCAAGACAGGCCAACACTCAAATTCAGGAAATATAGAGAACACCACAAAGATACTCCTCGAGAAGAGCAACCCCAAGACACACAACTGTCAGATTCACCAAGGTTGAAATGAAAGAAAAAATGTTAAGGGCAGCCAGAGAGAAAGGTCAGGTTATCCACAAAGGGAAGTCCATCAGACTAACAGCAGATCTCTCTGCAGAAACTCTACAAGCCAAAAGAGAATGGGGGCCAATATTCAACATTCTTAAAGAAAAGAATTTTCAATCTAGAATTTCATACCCTCCCAAACTAAGCTTCATAAGTGAAGGAGAAATAAAATCCTGTATAGACAAGCAAATGCTGATTTTGTCACCACCAGGCCTGCCTTACAAGAGCTCCTGAAGGAAGGACTAAATATGGAAAGAAAAACTCTGTACCAGCCACTACAAAAACATACCAAATTATAAAGACCATTGACACTATGAAGAAACTGCATAACTAACGAGCAAAATAACCAGCTAGCAACATAACGACAGATTCAAATTCACATATAACAATATTAACCTTAAATGTAAACAGGCTAAATGCCCCAATTAAAAGACACAGACTGGCAAATTGGATAAAGAGTCATGACGCATCGGTGTGCTATATTCAGGAAACCCATCTCACATGCAAAGACAAACATAGGCTCAAAATCAAGGGACGGAGGAAGATTTACAAAGCAAACGGACAGCAAAAAAAAAAAAAAAAAAAAAGCAGGGGTTGCAATCCTAGTCTCTGATAAAACAGACTTTAAACCAAAAAAGATCCAAAAAGACAAAGAGGGGCATCACATAATGGTAAAGTGATTAATGCAACAAGAAGAGCAAATTATTCTAAATATATATGCACCCAATACAGGAGCACCCAGATTCATAAAGCAAGTTCTTAGAGACCTACAAAGAGACTTAGACTCCCAAACAATAATAGCGAGAAACTTTAACACCCCACTGTCAATATTAGACAGATCAATGAGAAAATTAACAGGATATTCAGGACTTTTACTCAGCTCTGGACCAAGCAGACCTAATAGACATCTATAGAAATCTCCACCCCAAATCAACAGAATATACACTCTTCTCAGCACCACATCACACTTATTCTAAAATTGACCACATAATTTGGAAGTAAAACAGTCCTCAGCAAATGCAAAAGAAAGGAAATCATAACAAACAGTCTCTCAGACCACAGTGCAATCAAATTAGAACTCAGGATTAAGAAACTCACTCAAAACCACACAACTACATGGAAAGTGAACAACCTGCTCCTGAATGACTACTGGGTACATAACGAAATAAAGGCAGAAATAAATAAGTTATTTGAAACCAATGAGAACAAAGACACAACATACCAGAATCTCTGGGACACAGCTAAAGCAGTGTTTAGAGGGAAATTTATAGCACTAAAATGCCCACAGGGGAAAGTGGGAAAGATCTAAAATCAACACCCTAACATCACAATAAAAAAAAAATAGAGAAGCAAGAGCAAACTAATTCAAAAGCTAGCAGGAGACAAGAAATAGCTAAGATCAGAGCAGAACTGAAAGAGATAGGGACACAAAAAACCCTTCAAAAAATCAATGAATCCAGGAGCTGGTTTTTTGAAAAGATTAACCAAATACATAGACCCCTAGCTAGACTAATAAAGAAGAAAACAGAGAAGAATCAAATAGACACAATAAAAAATGATAAAGGGGATATCAACACTGATCCCACAGAAATACAAACTACCATCAAACAATACTATAAACACCTCTATGCAAATAAACTAGAAAATCTAGAAGAAATGGATAAATTCCTGGACACATACACCCTCCCAAGACCAAACCAGTATGAATTTGAATTCCTGAATACACCAATAACAAGTTCTGAAACCAAGGCAGTAATTAACAGCCTACCAACCAAAAAAAACAAGGACCAGATGAATTCACAGCCTCATGCCAGTTAGAATGGCAATCATTAAAAAGTCAGGAAACAACAGATGCTGGAGAGGGTGTGAAAAAATAGAAATGCTTTTACACTGTTGGTGGGAGTGTAAATTAGCTCACCTATTGTAGAAGACACTGTGGCAATTCCTCAAGGATCTAGAACCAGAAATATCATTTGACCCAGCAATCCCATTACTGGGTATATACCCAAAGGATTATAAATCATTTTATAAACCCAAAGGATTATAAAGACAAACACACAAGAATGTTTGTTACAGCACTTCACAATAGCAAAGACTTGGAACCAACCCAAATGCCCATCAATGATAGACTGGATAAAGAAAATGTAGCACATATACGCCATGGAATACTATGCAGCCATGAAAAAGCATGAGTTCATGTCCTTTGCAGGGACATGGATGAAGCTGGACACCATCATTCTCAGCAAATTAACACAGGAACAGAAAACCAAACACCGCATGTTCTCACTCATAAGTGGGAGTTGAACAACAAGAACACATGGACACCAGGAGGAGAACATCACACACCAGGGCTTATTGGGCCTGTCGGAGGGTGGCGGGATAGGGGAGGGGTAGCATTGGGAGAAATAAGTAATGTAGATGACAGGTTTATGAGTGCAGCAAAACACCATGGCACGTGTATAACTATGTAACAAACCTGCACGTTCTGCACGTTCTGCACATGTATCCCAGAACTTGAAGTATAATAAAAAATAAAAATAAAATGAAAGCATATAGCTACTGTGGAAATGAGTTTGGCAGTTTCTAAACAACAACAACAACAACAAAGCAGGCTACTAAACAACCCAGCAGTTATACGCTTGGGTAGTACTTATCTCAAAGATATGAAGACATAGGTTCATGTGAAAACCTGTACACAAATGTTCACAGTAGTTTATTTTTAACAGCTAAACTGGAAACAAATGTCTTTTAATGGGTCAAAGGTTAAGCAAACTGTGGTGCATCCATACCATGCAATACATATTTGGCAATAAAAAGGAATGAATGAACTCCTGACATAATAACAATCTAGATGAATCTCCAGAAGCTTATGCTGAGTGAAAAGAGCTAACCCCACAATGTTACATACTGTATACTTTCATTTATATAACATTCTTGGAACCACAAAATTACAGACATGAAGAACAGATTAGTGGTTGCCAGAGATCCCAGGATAGAGTTAGGGTGGGAGGGAAATAGATATGGCTATAAAATGGTAACAGAAGGGATCCTTGCAATGATGAAAGTATTCTGTATTTTGACTACATCAGGGTCAATATTCTGGTTGTGACATTGTACTACTAGCTGGCAAGCAGCAAGCATGAGATTGAACCCAGGGACCAGACCTTAATATGTTTTGCCTCCTTAGACATGAAACATTTTATGTGGACCTTAAAGTTTAGGTAGTGTTTGGCTCAGAAAAGAGGAGTGGAGAGCCCCTTTCAAGAAGAGAAAAGAACAATGATAAAACAAGCCTGTTTAGGAAATAAGTAGATTAATTTGAACAGAGAGGAGAGTCAGAGAAAGATAGATGGGAAATTCTTCAAGTACAGATGACACCAGAGGGAGAAGGCCATGGAGAGCGGGCCAACGAGTTAGCCATCTCCTACAGGGAATGAGGAGTGAAAGTCTTCAAGGAGAGAATAACTCAATAAAAATGAGATGTCAGAAGTATATTAGAGAAAGTAGCCTGGCACGTTGCTCTTTGACGTCTGTCACTGTGAACATTGTACCTTGTATAAGACCATTCTTGGAGAAATTGTGGACAGACTGAGAGTGCTAACCACTTTAGAGTAGCATGAAACACCAGAAATCAGAGGGCTCATCACCAACAATCTGGAGGCAGAATTAAGGCAACTGCCTTCTCTGATCAACCCTCCATAATACTTCCAAAGGGATATTTCTGAAATAAAAATCTAATTCTAGTGCTCACCTACGTAAAAGCCTACAGTGGAGCCACACCGATCATGAAAGGAAACCTAGTCTTTATTAGACCTTATAAGGCCATGGGTCATCTATCTTTTCTGGGCCTCAGCTTCATTTTCTGGGACACTAACTCTTGTCTCCTGCTCTTCTGCTGGAGGACTGTTTCTGGGCACAGAAAAAACCTGTAAGGCAGAAAGAAGACTGACTAAGAAGAGAAAGGGAAAAGTCCTCTCATTTCTCTTCAACTCCTGTTCTCTGAAAAGGAAGCCTCTTATTCTCAACTGCTTTCTGCCATTAAGTCAAGTTGGTAATTACTGTTTAAGGTTCAGAAATGTCTTTTTTCTTCCCTGCTTTCTCTCTGTATTCTCAGTCGTCCATGACTTTCTCGTTCTTTTTGTCTGTTCTCTTCCTCCTTTTTCCCCACTCTCCTTCTCTTCCTCCTTTTTCCCCACTCTCCTTCTCTCCCTCTCTCCTGTCATCAGGCTTATTCCCCCTTCTCTTTAGCAAATACCCTATTTCCCTTAGCCCACTCTGGTTCATGAACATTCTCCATGTTGTGCCCCTTTCCCAGCCCCTACCACACCTGCATTCTGAGAGGTGGGAGAGCCACCCAGCACTACCACTACCAAGATATTATCAACACAAAACAAATACAACTCCTAACCTAATTTCCTAGATGTGGATTCACAGACACCTGCAAGCATTTTCTCCTCTTTATTCTTTCCTTTGAGATTTTAGATATGCAGTTACAGATAAAATGTGATCCTGTTTTTCTCATTTGCTAGTATGAAAGATGTGGTCATGAATCTTTATATTATAATCACTTTTTAGTTGTTTCAAATGAGCTATTTTTCCTACCTACATATTTACAATATTTACGATTTCAAATGAGCTATTTTTCCTACCTATGTATTTACATATTCAGATTTCCTCTTTCAGAGAGATTTTATTATCTTCTTCTGAGGTACACATCTGTAAGTTTAGTGACAGTTTGTCAAAACTGCTTTCACTGGATGGATTACCAGTGCTTACTGATGAGACAGCCAAGTAACAAGGGCTTCCTGGAAGAACTTCCAACCAGCCTACACACTGAGAGGAGTGCACACAGGGGTGGAACCTCCAGAAGTTTCTGCTGTTTGCAAATGGGGAGGAGCCTGGCCCCTCCCATTCTGAGGTGGTCCCTGGGATTCAATCAGGACTCTCGTTTTGCTGAGAATCCCTGTTTCCCTTTTTTATCCTTTTCACCCAATAAACCCTGCCCTTCTCACCCTTCAACGTGTCTTCAAGCCTAATCTTCATGGTCAGGTGACAAGGACCCTGTTTTTAGCTGAATTAAGGAGAAAGTCCTGCAACACTGATATACAAACAACATAGCACTTCTGCACTCTCAGTTCAAGAGAAATACTACTGCATGATGTACAGTTTTGAATCTCATTGAACTACATCTGTTGAAGTGCATGCCACTAGCCTGCCTTGGGGGATGCTATGAGAACCTTGGCTCTTTTTAAAAATGTGGGCAATGACATTGTGCACAGCACCAGGTCAGTGCCTCTTCTCAGGAATCATGAGTCTGTGAGTCTTGGGTCACTGGACTCACCGAACCAGAAAGAACAGGTTTTCCTGCCTTAGCTGAGTTTTCATTTTACAGGCCCCATAATTTTTGCAACAGATTGTGTTTCCCCTTTGTTGTGGCTGCTGGTAAATTTACAACCAAATTTGGGGCTCCTCTCCAGCAGTTGAATAGTGTCTTACGGTGTTCATTATGTGTTATCAAACCTCTCTATTTATCCTATTTTCCTGATTTCATTTTCCCGTTGCTGCCATTTCCTCACGTTTATTTTCTCAATTTATCCCATTGTATGCATACAGATAGAAAGATAGATAAGATAAGCTGTCTCAATTCTCTTTCTAGAATGATTTGGAGATGCGAATAAATCAATAATACTCTTCATAACAACATCAATCATACTTACTCCAATAATGTGCTTTTTCTCATGCTTGCTTTAGAGTTTGTAACTGAACCTCTGAAAAACTGCTCAAGGCCCAATCTACTCCATTTTTAGGCATTTTCCAGATAAGACATGGCCTTCACCCCAAAGACCCTGACACCCTATAAAGCAAAAATAAAATCTGAAGCCCCCCAAATGACTGAATGAACCCTTGGCCAAGGGGACCCAAGAGAAACTTGAAAAAACTAAATTTCCAGCCATGACAGCGAGGGGAGGTTGGACACGCCTCATTATAGCCCCTCTGTTTGGAGTTTAGGTACAACTGACCAGCATTAACGTTAAAACAGAGATCATAAGACTGACCACATAGACTCTTTGTAGAAATACAATACCAAATTCCATCATGACTTTAGTATAGCATCATGTGACAGACAGCAGACCCTAAAGGAAATCAAAATATTTTACTCCAAAATATATTCTTTGACATATTTTGAAATCGCTCTTCAAAGTGATCTTTTTAGGAGGAAATTTGGATCTGTAGAGAATCTCCATTAATGCAGCCAGAATTTCCCTTTCCGGACCTTTCCCAGAGCTAGGAGAAATTAAATGAGAGTTTGACACATTTAAGTTCTAAAAAGAGACATTTACCATCTATTCTCTCCGAAGGCTGCTAACTGGAGGCTTCAGAACAAGAACCTTGGCCTTGACACCCTCTTTTATCTTAATTAAAACATTTCTTCCTACTGATTTCAAGTCTTTAGACAAAGCTTAACTCTTGCAACAACTGCCAATCAGAAAATCTTTGAATCCACTTAATGACCTCACATCCGCCCCTTCAAGATATCCCTCCTCTTCAGGCTGAACCAATATATAGCTTCTGCATATTGATTTATGATTTTACCTACAATTTCTGTCTCCCTAAATTATATAAAACCAAAGTGTAACCCGACCACCTTAGGCAACTTTCTCAGGATGGCTTGAGACTCTTTCTTGGGTCATGGTCACTCATACTGGCTCAGAATAAGCCTCTTTAAATACTTTAGAGTTTGGTTTTCATCCCAATTTAGAGAAAAAGCTGGCAGTTTTTAAAGACCCAGAAACTGACCTACCACTGTACAAATTTTAGTCACATATTTCACAGAACAGTTGTAGGATCTGTAGACATTAAAGAGGACCCTATCGGTGTATGGAGCTAGAGCAGTAGATGAAGGTTTCACAGAGAAGATGAGACAAAATGAACCCTGTAGAGCAGCTGGGATTTGCATTTTAATGATCCTCTCTTTGTTGTCTGTTTTATTTTATTCTCCTATACCGAATTTCTCGTCGGCATGCTTCATGTTTTGAGGAATTACAAGTGATAAGAACTTCTGTACCCAGTAGCAGTGCTCCGAGAAACCCCCATGCAAATCATCAGAGAAATCAATGCAGGACTAGTTGTGAAAATAGTTTGACTCTCTTCCTTTAGGTAAAAAGACTTTATTTCAGAGTCACACTGTAAATGAAGTGTAGATATTTACTTATTTGCATAAAAATGTCCTCTTCCTGGCTCCCCACTGTTAGATTTCAGTGCTTGCTGGGTGGGATGAAGACTCTAGCTAAGGAAGGGAACGCTGTACAGAGAGTAGTGCTGTACAGAAGAAATTGAGGGTGACTATGGGTACTAAGTCTGTGGAAAGGGGAAAATTAAAGAGGGCAGCAAGACTGCGTGTATGAACTGCTGCTTGGAAAGCCTTGGACAGAATCAGGGAAGTCAAGAGAGGCAGAGGTTCTATGGACATGGGCTATTGATGCTAATAGCAAGTGACACAAAATCTGGAAAGGAAAGCGTACAGCTTCTAAGGTGAGCCCTTTGCTCACTCTCCCTCCACAATGACAGTTGCTCTCAGTACATCTGACAGCAGCTTCGGCCACGAATTTTCAAACAATGCAATCCATCACTTAGACACTGAGACAGGTCCCGCCTGGAGAATCACTGCCCTGGGGACTGAAGGAATCTGACCCACAGGCATACAATGAGTTAGCAAGGAAAACAGCTTGCCTAGAGGTGCTGCTGCCTTCCACTGTCGGGCCACATGCACTAATTCCTCACTGACAGCAGACAGTTGTCCTGAATTAGAACACCTCCAAGTGCTCAATACAGGGTGAGTAGCAACGGCAGACACAGAGCAGCTCCATGGAGAAATCTGGGCTCCAGGCTAAAGCAAGGCCTTGGCAGCCTCAAGGACCCCAGTGTTAAAAAGGAACAGCGGCTATCAGAAAAAAAAAAAAAATTCATGCAAATAACCATGCCTGAGCTATTAAACATGTTCCTTAGATTAACGCTGCCAAACCAAATCAGAATGGCATTACATGACTGCAGGGAAGTGGCTTGCTGGGAGGAAATCACATTAAAAAGCAAAACAGCCTAGTAAAGGATCAGCCTCTGCTCAGATGCAGGGGTCTCTTGTCCTCTGTGGCTACGTGGTTGCCAGTTATCATCCTGGCAGAGAGACAAAGAGGCAAAGACAAATGCTGCTTCCGATGCCTGTCCTGCCCCTCTTTGTGACAGCCGCTCTTCCATCCAAGGCTTCCCTTGACCAGGGGACAGACGCAGCCAGCAGTCCAGTGCAGCCGAGGTTAAATGCCCTTACCTGGGAAGCTGGACAAATTCCTGAACACAGCTTTTGGAGATAATGTGGTGGCAGAACTTGCTCTGAGGGTCAAGGGAGCCGTGGCCAGCATAAGAGATGCAGGCACTCTGAGAACAGTTGTCATTCAATGGCCTTTCCAATCAATATTCCTTAAATATTTATTCTACATTTATTTAGAAAAGAAGAGAAAAACATTTTCTATTATACAAATTGTATAGCTAATTTAAATTCAGAATATAAATTACATTTTACCCAGGAAAATTGTTCAGAAACATGAAAAACAGAAAAAAAATTCTTTTATTTTGTTTCCACTTGAAAACATTGGTAAAAATCTTTCCTGCTTTCTGTGCTTATTATTTTTATTTTATAAATTTTAAACTAATGGAACTATTCATGATTTAAATTTAATAATAAATAAATAAATAATAAAGTAAATCACCTATTCCTAGTAAATGACAGTACTAGTTTCATAATATCAATGAATTTTAACTGGTCCTCAATACAGAAGACTGTCAGTTGGCATGTGACAGATTTGCGGCATTGCCTGAATTTAACCATTTGAACAAAAGGACATAAAAACTGAACACAGTTGATGAAGTGTATTTGAGCCATACATTCATGTATAGAGTCGAGGCTTCAGGCAGTATTACACAAACCAAAGTTACTTGCAAGTTAGATTAATTGAGAAGCAGAGAGGGTGTGCTTGAGAGAGAGAGTTGGTCTTCAGAGAAGAAAAGAAACAAATGTGTTGAGAAAGCCTGAGAAGGGAGTTCCCAGGCCCCATGAATGATGGAGAGAGTAGTCTCCGCTACGGATGCACCACTTCCTGCCCCTTTGTGTGGCTGCTTCTCCTCTTAAACCAATCACCTCCTTCCCTATCATCGCCTTTACTTTGAACTAGTCCGAATACACTGCAGTTATTTATAACCAGTGGGAAGTTTTAAGACCGATGTGGGGTGTGTGTGTGTGTGTTTGTGTGTCTGTCTGTCTTGAAAAATCTCAGAGTGTTAGGGAGATTTTTAAAGGAAGGAAATGAGAGACAAGGCAACTCAATGGCCAAATAGGTGTATTTACAAGAATAAGCCTGTGAGAGTTCCCAGCCAGGAATCTGGCTGAGATCCTGATTGCCTGTAAGCTGAGGTTTTTATAATCCAGTTTCTATAGGGGAGGGGTTGGGGAAGCGCTGGCAGGTTGGAACCATAAGGGGCTGGGGAGGGATGCAGTCAGGGCCAGTCAGGCTTTGTTGTGGTCAGGGTTCTTATGCTCTGTTAAAGGTATGAGTGAGGTTGACCTTTGCTTTGTTTTTGGGAACACTGTCACCGAGGTAGGAAACACAGTCACCAAGGTAGAAAAATGGCATTGCTATTGTTAATTCTCACACAGCGGAGGAAACTTGGAAATCAGTTCAAGGGAAGGGGCTGGCGCCTTTGGAACAGATCAATCCAAGTGCTAAACAACATGGAGACAACATTTATTGAGCACCTACTAAGCACCGGGTCGTGGAGAGAGGTATAGTCCCTTAGGCCAGGGATGCCAGGAGCCCGGGCATTCTATTAATACTATAGCAATCAGTAATGGAAGGGAGAGCTTGCCCCACTGGTGGTTCCGAGGCTGACAGGAGACTTTAGAGCGTATGGCTGCATGAGTATGCCATGGCCAATGCAGAAGCCAGGCAGATAATGTGCCAAGGCTGAGGGTAATGCATGAGGTTCCAGGACGGTGATGTCAGAAGGTGAGTAAGGAAGGCAGCTCAATTTTGGTGGGGCTGTCACTCTTCCTCTTCTGGCTGTTACAGCCAGGTAGCAACAGAAAGTTGGAAAAATTACTCAGCAACACCTAAAGCCCTGATTGATCTACTATCCACTGTGGAAACTCTGTAAATGTCAGCTCTAAATCCTACTTCTTCTGGAGCATGAATTTCATTGTCTTTCAGGGCATTCGTGTCAATGTCTGTAAGGAAACAGACAAACAGTCATTGGCAAATATGTAGATGAAATACATAGGGTGGGATGGAGGGGAAAAGTGCTCTTAGAGGAGTAGACAATAAGGGTGTATTGAAGTTGTAATGACAACTCTTTGAAGGATTCGCAGATTCTTCCCGGGAGAGGTAAGACTTCTATGCACTCCCTCCTGAGTTCAGTAGACCAGATGTTCAGGCCGCACTGTTAAGTCAAAGGAAAAAAATATAGCCTCACTGAGGCACTAGAAATGGGATCATTGATATTTTGTCAAGTTCAGCCTCTTACCCAAAATACAAACAAAACGTTGGTAGTTGTTCAGTGTGAAGAAAACAGTTGCAGTGTGTTATCAAATCCTGTGAGAGACTAAAGCTTCAGATTAATCAATAACACAATCTGACTTCTGTCTTAGTGAATTAGGCCCAAGAGCTAGAAATCTTTCTGAAAATCAAGAGAAGGCTTCCACTGTATCAGGGCTGATCGTGTTTCCACTGAATCTGGCCCTGTTAAGAGAAAGGCCTTGGTGACAACAAACGCGTTTTCAGATCCTATATCACTGTTTTCCTCCTGATTCAACTCTTAGGGTAGGGAGTGGGATGGGGAACAAGTTTGTCAAGCTTTGCACATAAAACGCATACCTTCAGAAACATAAAACGTCATTTTCAATACAGCACTTTATAAACTAAATAGCCCCCCAACCCCAACTTTTAACACGCAGTCTGCCTTTAATACTTGAAAACCAAAATTGCTTTCTGTTTTAATCGCTGAAAACCAAGCTTTAGCTTATAAATGGATTTTTTCCCAGAATTCTTTATCAACCACCGAAAGTGGGTATTTATAACAGAAGTCCACTTGGTTCTTCATAAAGCTAATTCAGGCTGGGTAATTCCCTTCCGGCAGCAGTAGGCATTGTTCTCTTCAGCTCTTGTATACTTAATACCAAGATACAAATATATTCCTATCTATTTCAGGGGGTGCAGAAGTGGTGAGAAAAAAAAGAAGGGGAGATGATACTAGTGTCAAATGAATTCTCTAGTATGTTTCCCCACTAGAGGGAAAGATAAATTAAATGTGCAATAAAAATTTAATAGCAAACAGTGATCGCACTTTAGGAATGCTGATAGAAATAAGCATAATGGCATAATAAATTTTCTTGTGTGAGAAATGATTATTTGGAGCTTTAAGCTTTGACAATTCTTGTAAATCTTATCCATTTGTTAGTAATTAATAATATTAAATTGCTTCACATCTCCCTAGATAAACATCAGCAATCTTTCAAATCATTGTTGAAGAAATGCATAATCTACTGCACATCATTACAGAGTTTTCTAAAATTTCCGAGATATTTAATAGCACTGTTCAAAGGAGAAATAAAAGCAATTTGATCTTTACTGCTAATATAAATAGATCAACAAATATTTGTTAAACTCGACTTTGTGCTTAGCAGAGAAAGCTAGCTGTCCATCAGAATCCAGTTTTGTATTTCAGGGTATAAATCTGTGTCTAGGAAATGGTTGCCCAGGATAGGACTATATCACATCCCCAGTCTCCTATGCCCCTAGTGTGACCATATGACTCATCTCTCCAATAACACTGACTGGAAATAATGTTTGCATTTGTAAGCGAAGTCTTAAGACTAGGACCATGGGTCAGGCACAGTGGCTCACACCTGTAATCCCAGAACTTTGGGAGGCTGAGGCAGGTGGATCATGAGGTCAGGAGTTCAAGACCAGCCTGGCCAACATGGTAAAACCCTGTCTCTACTAAAAATACAAAAATTAGCTGGGCATGGTGGCGGGCATCTGTAATCGCAGCTACTTGGGAGGCTAAGGCAGGAGAATCATTTGAACCCGGGAGGCGGAGGTTGCAGTGAGCTGAGATTGCAAGATTCCATCTCAAAAAAAAGAAAAAAAAAAAAGGACCAGTTGGCTCTTCAGGCTCTTCCAGCTTCTCCAAGCTCGATGTAGAAAACAACAAAATCCTAAGATAGGAAGAACCACACATTGAGAGGAGCTGGCTCTGAGTCTCCACGTGGCAAAAAGCTGTTCATGAACAGGAACAAGAATGCCAGCCTTGGTTAAGTGAGTAAGATCTAAACTTCTGTTACATTTCAGCCATTACGTATCGGTGAGTCTATGTGTCACAGCATGTTTGCCCGGTCTGATTAGTAGAATAGCATTCTTACAGACTTCATGAGATACATAAAGAAGTGAAAGACATTGCACTTCTTACAAAAAATGACTTTACTCTGCTTAAAGAAACAAAGAATACATGCAAGAAAAGTAAAATATCACAAAGGAAATGATAGTTTAAGAGATGCCAGAGGATAGTACAAGAGTAAATTCACAACTAATTGGCATTGGCACAAAGTACTAGGAGTTCAAAGGTAAAAACCTAAATGTGTACTTGGGAGGCTGAGGCAGGAGAATGGTGTGAACCTGGGAGGCAGAGCTTGCAGTAAGCCAAGATCACGCCACTGCACTCCAGCCTGGGCGACAGAGAGAGACTCCGTTTCCCAAAAAAAAAACCCAAAAAAACCTAAATACATATTTGAAAAATATCCATAGGAAAATGGTGGGTTCTGCTGGTGAGAGCTTTAAGCTATGCTGCTGCTAAGAATCAAATCACCTTCTGGGAAATTCTTCATTTGAATAAATAAACCTAAAGCTCCTGATATCCTTAATTCTTTTTTTTTTAATTATACTTTAGTTTTAGGGTACATGTACACAACGTGCAGGTTAGTTACATATGTATACATGTGCCAGTCTGGTGTGCTGCACCCAGTGATTCATCATTTAACATTAGGTATATCTCCTAATGCTATCCCTCCCCGCTCCGCTCCCCCGACCACAAAACAGACCCCAGTGTGTGATGTTCCCCTTCCTGTGTCCATGTGTTCTCATTGTTCAATTCCCACCTATGAGTGAGAATATGCGGTGTTTGGTTTTTTTGTCCTTGCGATAGTTTGCTGAGAATGATGGTTTCCAGCTTCATCCATGTCCCTACAAAGTACGTGAACTCATCATTTTTTATGGCGCATAGTATTCCATGGTGTATGTGTGCCACATTTTCTTAATCCAGTCTATCATTGTTGGACATTTCACTTGGTTCCAAGTCTTTGCTATTGTGAATAGTGCTGCAATAAACATACATGTGCATGTGTCTTTATAGCAGCATGTTTTATAATCCTTTGGGTATATACCCAGTAATGGAATGGCTGGGTCAAATGGTATTTCTAGTTCTAGATCCCTGAGGAATCGCCACACTGACTTCCACAATGTGGACTAGTTTACGGTCCCACCAACAGTGTCAAAGTGTTCCTATTTCTCCACATCCTCTCCAGCACCTGTTTGTTTCCTGACTTTTTAATGATCACCTTTCTAACTGGTGTGAGATGGTATCTTATTGTGGTTTTGATTTGCATTTCTCTGATGGCCAGTGATGATGAGCATTTTTTCATGTGTGTTTTGGCTGCATAAATGTCTTCTTTTGAGAAGTGTCTGTTCATGTCCTTCGCCCACTTTTTGATGGGGTTCTTTGTTTTTTTCTTGTAAATTTGTTTGAGTTCATTGTAGATTCTAGATATGAGCCCTTTGTTAGGTGAGTAGATTGCAAAAATTTTCTCCCATTCTGTAGGTTGCCTGTTCACTCTGGTGGTAGTTTCTTTTGCTGTGCAGAAGCTCTTTAGTTTAATGAGATCCCATTTGTCAATTTTGGCTTTTGTTGCCATTGCTTTTGGTGTTTTAGACATGAAGTCCTTGCCCATGCCTATGTCCTGAATGGTATTGCCTAGGTTTTCTTCAAGGGTTTTGATGGTTTTAGGTCTAACATTTAAATCTTTAATCCATCTTGAATTAATTTTTGTATAAGGTGTAAGGAAGGGATCCAGTTTCAGCTTTCTACGTATGGCTAGCCAGTTTTCCCAGAATCATTTATTAAACAGGGACTCCTTTCCCCATTGCTTGTTTTTGTCAGATTTCTCAAAGATCAGATAGTTGTAGATATGTGGCATTATTTCTGAGGGCTCTGTTCTGTTCCATTGGTCTATATCTCTGTTTTGGTACCAGTACCATGCTGTTTTGGTTACTGTAGCCTTGTAGTATAGTTTGAAGTCAGGTAGTGTGATGCCTCCAGCTTTGTTCTTTTGGCTTTGGATTGACTTGGCAATGTGGGCTCTTTTTTGGTTCCATATGAACTTCAAAGTAGTTTTTTCCAATTCTGTGAAGAAAGTCCTTGGTAACTTGATGGGGATGGCATTGAATCTATAAATTACCTTGGGCAGTATGGTCATTTTCACGCTATTGATTCTTCCTACCCATGAGCATGGAATGTTCTTCCATTTGTTTGTACCCTCTTTTATTTCATTGAGCAGTGGTTTGTAGTGCTCCTTGAAGAGGTCCTTCCCGTCCCTTGTAAGTTGGATTCCTAAGTATTTTATTCTGTTTGAAGCAATTATGAATGGGAGTTCACTCATGATTTGGCTCTCTGTTTGTCTGTTATTGGTGTATAAGAATGCTTGTAATTTTTGTACATTGATTTTGTGTCCTGAGACTTTGCTGAAGTTGCTTATCAGCTTAAGGAGATTTTGGGCTGAGACGATGGGATTTTCTAGATATACAATCATGTCATCTGCAAACAGGGACAATTTGACTTCCTCTTTTCCTAATTGAATACCCTTTATTTCCTTCTCCTGCCTAATTGCCCTGGCCAGAACTTCCAACACTATGTTGAATAGGAGTGGTGAGAGAGGGCATCCCTGTCTTGTGCCAGTTTTTAAAGGGAATGCTTCCAGTTTTTGCCCACTCAGTATGACATTGGCTGTGGGTTTGTCATAGATAGCTCTTATTATTTTGAGATATATCCCATCAATACCTAATTTATTGAGAGTTTTTAGCATGAAGGGCTGTTGAATTTTGCCAAAGGCCTTTTCTGCATCTATTGAGATAATCATGTGGTTTTTGTTGTTGGTTCTATTTATATGCTGGATTACATTTATTGATTTTCGTATGTTGAAGCAGCCTTGCATCCCAGGGATGAAGCCTACTTGATCATGGTGGATAAGCTTTTTGATGTGCTGCTGGATTCGGTTTGCCAGTATTTTATTGAGGATTTTTGCATCAATGTTCATCAGGGATATTGGTCTAAAATTCTTTTTGTTGTGTCTCTGCCAGGCTTTGGCATCAGGATGAGGCTGGCCTCATAAAATGAGTTAGGGAGGATTCCCTCTTTTTGTATTGATTGGAATAGTTTCAGAAGGAATGGTACCAGCTCCTCCTTGTACCTCTGGTAGAATTTGGTTGTGAATCCATCTGGTCCTGGACTTTTTTTGGTTGGTAGGCTATTAATTATGGCCTCAATTTCAGAGCCTGTTGTTGGTCTATTCAGAGATTCAACTTCTTCCTGGTTTAGTCTTGGGAGGGTGTATGTGTTGAGGAATTTATTCATTTCTTCCAGATTTTCTAGTTTATTTGCCTAGAGGTGTTTATAGTATTCTCTGATGGTACTTTGTATTTCTGTGGGATGGGTGATGATATCCCCTTTATCATTTTTTATTGCGTCTATTTGATTCTTCTCTCTTTTCTTCTTTATTAGTCTTGGTAGCAGTCTACCAATTTTGTTGATCTTTTCAAAAAACCAGCTCCTGGATTCATTGATTATTTTAGATATTGATACAGTTTGTGTATTGGTTCCTACCCAAATCTCATGTTGAATTGTCATCCCCAGTATTGGAGGTGGGGCCCGGTGGCAGGTGATTGGATCGTGGGAGTTAATTTCTTACGAATAGTTTAACGCCATCCCCTTGGTGCTGTCCTCACAATAGTGAGTTCTCGTGAGACCTGGTCATGTGACAGTGTGTGGCACGCCCCCACTTCTCTCTCTTGCTCCTGCTTTCGCCGTATGAGGTGCCTGCTCCCCCTTCACCTTCTGCCATGATTGTAAGCTTCCTGAGGCCTCCCTAGAAGCTGA
Organism: Homo sapiens; assembly: GCF_000001405.40. Taxonomy (NCBI): domain Eukaryota; kingdom Metazoa; phylum Chordata; class Mammalia; order Primates; family Hominidae; genus Homo; species Homo sapiens. Next base: position 114,286,472 of record NC_000002.12, on the reverse strand, counting down.
GCAGATGCCAGTGCCATGCTTCTTGTAAAGCCTGCAAAACTGTGGGCCAATTAAACCTCTTTTCTTATAAATTACCCAGGCTCAGGTATTTCTTTATAGCAATGCAAAATCAGCCTAATACCTATGTGTTCCAGAATCTCTGATTTGCCTGCAGTTGTAAGCTTACTTTTTCTTGTAATGCCTACTTCTGACCTGATTAGACCATTTATGTTCTAATTTTGTTGTTGTTTGCTTAAAACATCACGTTATGATCAATCTTTTCCCTTTCAATGTAAAATGATTTCTATTTCACTGATTCCATTTCATTCAGGAAGTAAGTTTGTAAATTCTAGCTAAAAGAGACTCAGTTCAAATTTCAGCTCAGATTAGAAGAGTTCCAGAAATAATCATGATGTATTCATATTATTTTTAAAGCTACGTATTAAGCATTAACAATTTGCTAGCCACAGTGTATGTAAAGAGGAACACAATGTAGTCCATAGCTTTTTGGTACTTATATTCTAATGAGACCTCCTCTAAAAGAAGAGGTCATACCACAGACAGAAAGAACTAGATACATGAAGCCTGTAAGCCTGGAGATGACTCAGTGGTCGAAAGATAACTGTCTTCTTTGACGATTTAAAGGTTTTTTCCTAGGGAAGAGAGATCAGACTTATTTCTCATGGCTTTTGCCCACTGATGTGGACAGTGGGTACTATTAGTCACTCAAAAAAATGTATTTTGCATAAATGAATGAATGTCATCTTGAGCCTAGGAACTTGAATCAATTCCAGATATTTTTCATTTGCTGTAAGAAATGGCGCTTAACTTGGTCACCTACTTGCTGTGAGCCTTCAGAAAAAGAAAAAAAAAGTCAATTTAAGAACCAGGACGACTTAGGTAATAGCCACAGGAAGAAGGATTTGGGTTTGATATAAGGATGCAATTTCTAAAGGTCAGAGTCTTCAAACATGCATGGTCTTACTTTCTGAAAGGAATTAAGAAGTTTTCAGGCATAGTGGACTAAATGACAGAGATTGGAGGAGAAGACATTCAGATATTTGAGGTTCTCAGACAAGGGCTCAAGATATTCTGAGCTCTTCAGTGGAAATGTGGGGGTGGTTGAGAATTAGCAAAGCAAAGGCCCTGGGTCCCTGGGGGATGAGATAGGGGAAAGAGTTAGACAGGAACCAGGACCCCATAAATAGTCCACAGGGTAGAACTAGACTACCAGACAAAACTAATGAAATTAATTAAAGGAGAGAAACTTCACTGGAGGCTCTGTCATGTTGAGTGGGCCACCCAGAAAACGGTATGCTTGGGACCACACAGATACTTAGAACTCATCTCTTAGCCCTGAATACAAGGTCTGTTTGGCTGTGAAAAGCCAGTGTATTTGTTTTAGAGGAAACCAAGGCTCTCGGCAGTCCTGGTGGAAATATTTGACCCTGCCCTGGGAGTTTCTCTTAATTCTGTGTCCTATCAGATAGAGGTAGTAGAAAATGAAGGGTCGTCTGGAATGCTTAATAGCTCTGCAACTTTTGGAAATCTACTCTGACCTTCAGGTTCATTGGCCAGAGGAGGATAGCAACATGAAGCTGGAGGGTGGTGGGAGAATTAAACAAGAATTGGTTCTGATCTGTGCTAGTTGCATCTAATCGATGTATTGTTTCTTTTTTCCCCTTCTAGCTTTGAACTTTTATAATTCTTTCTCCATGAGAAGCTTCAAAATCTTTTAATTTTCAGGCTAAGCGCAGTGACTCATACCTGTAATCCCATCACTTTGGGAGGCTGAGACGGGTGGATCACCCGAGGTCAGGAGTTCGAGGCCAGCCTGTCCAACATGGAGAAACCCCATCTCTACTAAAAATACAAAATTAGCCCGGTGTGGTGGCATATGCCTGTAATCCCAGCTACTCAGGAGGCTGAGGCAAAAGAATCACTTGACTTTTTTTATTTTCATTTCCTCTTGGGAGCCGCTAATTTATTATTTGAGAAAGTCAAATGGTATTTATAGATCCATGAAACTGGAATGTGTTGTGTAAACTAAGATGAAGGCAAAGCCAGGGCTTTTTGTTGCCCCTCAGGATCCCAGTAACCTGGTTTGGCTATTTTGTAAACCCAACTAATTTTTCTCCATGTCTGCTAGTGTTACTCTAAATTAAGATGTAATGCATTCTGGAAGGTCATTGGCATTTGAAGGGTCTTCTCTAAACTGTATCTAAATCACCTAGAGTTGATGCAGCATTCTAGGAAGGACAAACATGTATTTTTACATTTAATTCAGAATGTGACAGAAAACTGAGACTGTCGTGTTCTTTTCTTCATCCAGAAAATCTCTCGTTCCACAAGCATAATTCCCTTCTCGCCAGGAGTCACCAGGCTTGCATCAAACAAAAGTGTGTTGGCATTACAATAATCAAAGCAGGACCAAAATGCCCTTCAATCTTCACGCTCCTTTCAAACCAAACAAAATATGGCCCTATGCACATCTATTCCAGACAAGGCATTCCCATGGGAGTGGGGGTAAAATGTCCTAATGCGTTTTCAATTTACAAAGTAACTCCCTATATTTAGATCAGTCAGTTTATATCTGAGTTCAAAAATTCCAGAGAATCTGGCATCTTTCCTCCCTAGCACGATTATGTTTTTCAAAGAATTCTGTTCTCAAAAATTTTTACCCTTCTCTCAGAAATAGGCTCTTTACTAGGGATATTTTAAGCTATATAAATGTTTCTTTATTTTCATACTTACAAACTGTCTAATTCACTTTGTCAGTGCAAGGTTTTGCTTTTTAAAGGATCTGTTTACGATGCATACAACAAAACCAAGTAATCATGTTGTCACCCAATATTAGAAAAATGATCATTAGTGCTCACAATAATCATGTCAGGCCACATAAAATCAAAATAATGCCTTATAATCCATCCAAGACTATCTGATCTGAGTTCTTTATGTTTATATATTTTATTCTATAATAATTCCTTGATATATGGGTAAGTCATTGGTCTGCAATACATTTTAATATGAATTAGGTGGGCTTTGTTTTGCTTAGTTTTAGATAGTCACATAAGGAGGGCAGGGGCAGGATTAGAAAACATTAAAAGACTTGGAAAATGATCTAAAATAAACATAGGGCATCAAAGAGAAACAGCGTTTAAGAGCAAGGATGAGTAAAAGAAGATAATCACATAAAAAATGTTTCATTTCTCCATATTGGTGGTCAGAAGTGACCCCAGTGCTAAGTACCACACCACAGGAAGATTTTTACAAAGGAGATAACATAATATTTCTGAATTAGAGTTTTGGGATGTAGTTCATGTTAAGTGGTTAGTTCAGGCTTTCAAGCAGTTTGCACTTTGAAATCAGAGTCATTTCTGAAATCCTATGAGAATTCAGTTTTTAATTTCGTAAGAAATAACTGATTTGCCCGAAAATCAAATGTTGGAATTGAAAAGGGCAGATTTTTAGATAAAATCATGTTACAGTTGATTCTGTGAGCACCTGTATTAGTTCTTTCTGGTTTTAAATATACCTCAAAACTCCTCGTGCTGGCCGAGCGTGGTGGCTCATGCCTGCAATCCCAGCACTTTGGGAGGCTGAAGCGGGTGGATCACCTGAGATCAAGAACTCGAGACCAGCCTGGCCAACATGGTGAAACCCCATTTCTACTAAAAATACAAAAAATTAGCCAGGCGTGGTGGCAGGCACCTGTAATCCCAGCTACTCAGGAGGCTGAGGCAGGAGAATTGCTTGAACCTGGGAGGCAAAAGTTGCAATAAGCTGAGATCATGCCATAGCACTCCAGCCTAGGCATCAAGAGCAAAACTCCATCTCAAAAACAAACAAACAAAAAACAAAACAAAACACTCCTTGTGTTGTGCTGAAGTCTTGGTTGAGAGAGAATTGCGGACATCAGGGCATGCTGAAGCCCTACCTCGATGGGCACTGAGCACAATCAACCAACAAGCAGGGAAGGGAGGCAGCAGGTAAGAGCAGGGATATGCCTGCTGAGCCGCCCCTCACCCTTGACTGTGGGCAGTGGACAGGGATCATCCAGGTCTTCACAAAAGCGTAGACAGCTTTCCAGATGGAATGGAGGCTTAGATGCCTAAATAATAGATGCCTGTTAAATAGACTAACAACATCAAGAGGGCAGAGAAGGATGAAACAAAGACTAAATAGATATGGAGGCTGAAGAACTGGCTTCAGAAGAGAATTCTGTGGGGCACCTGCAGGCACCTTAGGACCTTGACTTGGATTTATAGAGACTTGCAGAAATAGAAGTGGCATGTCCAGAGCATCATCTTCATTACTATTCATTGTGTATGCTTACATGAACTGAGGACTGTGGGTGCATGGTTATCACAACAGGGCCATGGGACATGATTGATGGAAAGACACCAACAGCCACAGATAAAGGATGCAAAAGTTATATCTGAACCGAAACTTTAAAATTTATAGAGATAGTTATTGACAGAGGCAATATAGCATGCTCCCAGATGGAAGTAGAGGCTCCCCACGTCTACGGTCTTGCATGGAGGTGCAGGTACTGCATCACACACCAGGTGACCATTTCACCAAGTGCAAGGAGCTCACAGCTGCCATCCACATGGTACTAGTGTGTATTAGGAGGGAATTCATTATACTCTCCTGTCCCCTCCCCATATCTCTGATCTGGAGATTCTTGTTCACTCCGCCTTTTCACCACATACAAGGAATTACTACAAAACCACTCAAGTAAGCATTTGATTGGATAAATCCAAGACCTTGTCCAAACACATAGCATCCCTTAGGAGGTCCAAAGATCAGGCTTCTTTTAGGTCCATTTCTACAGAGGACATTGTTTACATGTTTACTCTAAAAACCTGAAGTTGGTATTTCCAACCCAGACTAGTCTGGTTTGGAACAACTAGACTAGACTTCTGGGGAAGGTTCTGTTTGAAGATTTCATTAGAAGTTTCAACCAGTCTTCAGTTTGATTACTTTTAGGCCTGAACTGACTTCTGGTGTCCCCAGCTGAGCTAGGCTAGCTGGCAAGTGGAGGCCTAATAACAGATCCACTTTCAATCAAAAGGCCATCGCTGTGCTTGTTGATAAATACTGTGTGTGTGACTCATGTTATTTATTTAACCTTTAATAACGCTTACCACACACCTGCATTTCTGGGGTCTGTGGTTAAAGTTTAGGAATCAGTCCACTTGATTATGAGTTCAGAGACCTAAATTTAGTCCTAGTACCAATGGTACCAACAGAGCAGTAAGTTAAATAGCTTCACATCTCAAGTGACTTTCTTCATCTATAAAATAAGGCAATCAATCCTTTTGTACTTCATGAGCATAGATGATCGGGTGTTCATGCACGTGTGTGAGATGTGCCACCCTCGAATGGGCACATTACCCATCTGACCTGAAGAAAAAAATATTAAGTGAAAAAGATTTTTTAAAAATAAATAAAATAAGGCAACTGGACTAGGTTAACATTTATCCAAGATTTTCCTGAAGTTTCTCACTGGGCTCACCTGAGGTGGTTATAGAAAAGTAAATCTTTGTGGACTTATCCCTGACTTAGATTTGGAATCTTTGGAGAAGGGGTCCGGAATATTTCACTTGTAGCAAATTCCCCTAGGGACACTGAACCATCAGGTCATTTCTGAGGTTTCATCGATCTTTGACATTACATAAGGACAAGGACAAAGTAATATTTCTATTGATCTGTCATGACTATATGAATAAGGTTAATTCTAGCAATTTGGCCCAAATGTGTTAGGTCACCTTCGCAGTGCTTTATATCAGGTGATTGAGTCATCAAGCATAGAGATACTATGGCAATTGTTGAAGAAGCTCAGAATTTTAAGCCAAGATGACCTGGGTTCAAATCCTACCTAATTGCTGCTCCAATTGTCTTCCTTCCTGATTCCCTAAGCCTCCATTTCCCAATCTGTTAAGCGTGTGCGATAACAACGCCTGTGTCTTAGGCAGTACCATCACAAATATTTCCATAAAATAGAGTTTAGGAGAGGCAATTCTAAGTGTGGGCTAGGGTAGGAAGTGCAGGGCGGGGAATGGGATGGAGGACAGATCTTGAAACTTCATTTGCCTAAGAAGGTCCATGTGGGGCGGCTTTGGCAAAGGTAGGAAGATGGGAACTGATGGAGATTTACTATCACTACTTGTGATGATTATGAAGATTAATAAGGAAATAAGGATTTTTTCATAGATTTTCTGACACAAACAATGATCAATGAGTAACAGCTCTTATTAAGTTGAACCATATGAAATTGCTAATTTTCAACTCTTTTTGACTGTCTAAATGGCAGTTCCATATGGTTTCAAAACAATATAATTTAATATGGAAATCCCAGTATGACATAATGAATTTATTTTTCCCAAATTATTCATGTCCTTTTCAAGAAAAAGTGAGAGAGGTGTCACTGAATATACAATGTGTTTTTTTCTTTTATAATGATTTTTTTTATTTTAATGAAAATTCAAAAGGCTTCACCTCAAGTCACATTACAATCATTTTTCTAAGTAATGATATGATAAGAAGTGAGGCAGCAGGTGGGAGTTGTGATAGAAAACACCCAGGAGGATGTCAGATGAGGGATTCTTGTGCCTTGTTCTAACTATTACGATAACAGCTGTCCTTCTTGTACAGCACATCCTGTCTCTGTGACTTTAATGATGACCTGAACTCCTAATCAAGTGTTCATGTGGCCCACAGACACCACTGGGTGCTTAAAAAGTCACACACTCTCTGCCTGCTGGTAATGGATGGCTCTGCATTTCCTTTCCTTAGAGGCCATCTTATAAACAAGAACTAGTCATATGGGGTATAAAAATAATTAATGGTCTTAACTGAACTATTAATATGATGTTACTAACCAGATGAGATATCAATCTAATTTAATTTGCTAATTTCATATTCACATTTTATCTAATAGCTAAAGTGAAGAATAAATCATATTGACTCTCATATGTTTATGCTTCATGTTTTTAAACCTCGTGGGTGTGGATGTCTCTATTGAAATTTACTTTCTGTAAGTTCTCATAGAATATCTGGAGAGCTTGCTAACAGGAAAAATGGAACCGTAAGGTTTTCCCGGCCATGACTACTCACATTGAACATCTCACCCAGCAAACATAACATTTGTTACTACCTGAGTCCAAATACTCAAGATGTCACATAAAAATTTGAGAACTCAGAATGGGAAAATAAGCCTGAATATTTTATTAGAAACCCAGAATTGCAAAGAAGCCAGATCTGACTAAACACATCCATGATTACTATTGGTCTATACTGATTCATTAATTCAATCATTTTATCTCTCAGGTGGCAGGAGAAAGCATAGAAGAAAAGCATTCTTTCAAAAATAGATTAGCGAGGATTTTCTTGTGTACTTCATATTTGTTTTATTGTTGGTGGTGTTTAATTGAAAGATGATGAAAGGAAGAGAGAAATCTTTACCTAAATTTTTCCCCACCTCCATCTCTGACTTGATCTCTGTGCCAATCTTTGGCAACCCCAAGGAGATTCTATTTCTGTGTCTCTCTGGGTCTGATGTAAGTGAGGAAAGAATGCTGAACTGAGAACTAATAATAATGGACTTGGGATGGTAGTGACCCAAGCTCTTAAACTGTCTTTGATTTGATCTAGTGTGATATATTTAAGTATCATGATAGGGTAAAGAAAATACTATAGGAAAGATAACAAGAGAGAAACAAACAAAGGAACCCTCAGTTCCAGTAGTGGTTCAGCTTCCGACATAAGACCAGGAAACTGAGAAAAAGAAACCCCTTAAAAGAAAGTCAGAGAAGCACACTAGCCAGACTGAGACTGGGCAGCAACTCTCAAGGCAATGATGTGGAAGTCTTGGCACATTCAGGGACCTGACAAGAGGATGTGTTGGGATGGTCTCATGGAGTTCATGGAGTTTGGGATTTTCATGGCAAGAATAGCAAGATTCAGGAGGCTAAAGCAGAGGTCAGTAAACTACAAGAACTAAAAATCTAATCCGGCCCCACCCCTTTGTTTGCATGTTATCTATGCTGCTTTCATACAACAGCAGAATAGAATCTAATAGTTGCAACAGAGAGCATGTAGCCCACAAAGCTGAAAATGCTTATTATCTGACCCTTTACAGAAGTTTGTTGATGCCTGGGGTAGAATAATTCAGAAGGAAGGTCAGAATATTACAACAAAAGTAGGAAATTGGGAATGAACATATTACATTAAAAGACAAAAAGGAGAGCAATCTGCCCTAAACAGAAACCCCTAGAAGTAAGGAGTGGGGAGTCGGGGGTGTCGTCTTGCAAAGTTCACACTATGGGGTCTTGATGATGAGATCAAAGAATTTTCACTTAATTCTCTAGATAGAAAAAAAAAGCCACTTCAAAGTTTTTCACTAGTAATGACAGTGATGTTTTAATTTAGTTACTGTATATGAGATGGGCTAAACAGGAAATCTTCAGAAAAATGACCCTCAGTGTGTGTAATGGAGAAAACTGGAAATGAACCAACTCAGGTACAGACCTAGGATTCCCTACACCTCAGGCCAGTTCAAAGATTGTTGTGCCTTTGTAAAAGTGAAACATTTATCAGTATACGTTTTTAAGGTGAGTCATTTAGATTTTCCTAGTCCAGACATTTTTCTTTTCCTATCTTATTTTTTCTACTTTTTTCCCTTAACATCTTGCATATGCCTTGGCTAGTTGTGATCAGTTCTTAAAGCTGGAGAAGGAGACATCTGTTGCTGAGTGTTGGTCACTGCTCAGTAACCTGCCTGTAAGTTAATAATGGCAGGCTATTGGCGAATAATAACTGTTACTTTCTTCCTAATGTCCCTGAAGCATTATTAAATGTGGCACTTACAGCCCCTTATATGCAATTTACCTCTGTAAAAGGTCATCTGCAAATACAGTACTTAAAAATATGCCACAAGGAACTGTGCAATTACATGCTGAGACATTCATTACCAGCACACGCCTACACAGAATACACCCCGTTTTAAATTTAGCCACTCTTAAAACTGGCAATGGAGTCTTCTTTGATGCATCTCCACAGCAGAAAACATCCTGTCTCCCTCACTTTTCTGAATGTCGTGAAGCCATACCTTGGCTCTGGAATGCTAAGAAATCAAAGGCTGAAGCAGGTGATGCTTACCCTCAATGAGTCCCGTTGCTCTTTCTCATCCCTGAAAGATAACAAGGGTCGGCCGGGCGCGGTGGCTCACGCCTGTCATCCCAGCACTTTGGGAGGCTGAGGTGGGCGGATCAGGAGGTTAGGAGATCGAGATCATCCTGACTAACACAGTGAAACCCCGTCTCTAATAAAAATACAAAAAAAATTAGCCGGGCGCGGTGGCGGGCACCTGTAGTCCCAGCTACTCGGGAGGCTGAGGCAGGAGAATGGCGTGAACCCGGGAGGCTGAGCTTGCAGTGAGCCGAGATCGCGCCACTGCACTCCAGCCTGGGCGACAGAGTGAGACTCCATCTCAAAAAAAAAAAAAAAAAAAAAAAAAAAAAAAAAAAAAAAAAAAAAAAAGATAACAAGGGTCTTCATGCTTCCCCTGGACTCCCCAGGTGCACCTACCCTAAACATATTTTAGTGTTCTCCTTTCAGCAGTATCTTATGCTCTGGACTTTCCTCAATTCCCGCTCTCCCCCCAAAAACCAAGATGTCAAGGAGGTTCCAGGTTAAGATGATGGATTAAAAATACAAATCTAATTTTACATCCTTTGTATTAGTCAGCTCAGGCTGCTATAACAAAATTCCATAGACTGGGTGGCCATTCATTCATCACAGTCCTGGGTAGACTATGAGACTGGGAAGTCCAAGATCAAGGTGCTAGAAATTTAGTAAGTAGTGAGGACCTGTTCCTGGCTTACAGATAGCAGTCTTTACACTGTATGCTCACATGAAAACAGTGAGGCCTGGTTTTTCTTCCTTTTTTAATAAGGACTTTATAATTCTATCATTGGGACCTCATCCTAATGACCTTGTCCAAAACTAATTACCTCCCAACGTTCCCACCTCCAAATACCATCACATTGGAGGTTAGAACTTCAACATGTGAATTTAGGCAAGACAAACATTCAGTCATAACACCTTCTTAAAACAACTCTAAATTTAAAACAAAAGGATAAAAAGATATGTAACCACAAAGAGAATGAGAATAAAAAAATTAGCAAAAGCAAAAATATTTTGGAAACTGGAAAGAAAATTAATTAAAGACAACAAAGTTCTGAGTCTACAGTGAAGAAAGTAAAGAATCAGCCTAATTTATACCAGATAATCCTCAAAAGTCACAGGAACTGACAGCGTCAGATATTTATGAAGTTAGCAGTAAAGGGGGGCACTTAAAATGAGGAAGAATCAAGTCAAAAAGTAATCATGTCTCTAAATATCATCTCCAACTCTACGTCATTCAATTATGGCCCCTCACAAACCAAGTAGAAATCTGGAGATCATTTTTTCTATAAAGAGGATAAAAAAGAGTGTGATGGTTAATTCTAAAGCAAATGAAGCAAGAATAAGATGTTCTAAAAGAGAAAATTCAGAACACAAATTAGAGCAACTCTTAGAAATCAAAAGTATGGTGGCAGAAATCAAAACTTATAGAGAGATGAAATATAAACTTGAAGAAATTTCCAGAAAATAGAGTACTAACATAAAACTAAGAAACAAGAGATTAGAAAACGGAAGATTCAATCCAGAAAAACAAATTTAAGTTATAACCATTCCTGAAAGAGAAAATAAAGAAAATAGACAAGAAGGAATCATGAATAAACTAGTTCAAAAAAATTCCCCAAATTAAAAGACAGTTTTCATATTGAAAAGTCTCACAAGGTCCAGTGCAGTGGCTCATGCCTATAATTCCAGCACTTTGGGAGGCTGAGGTGGGCGGATCACTTGAGGCCAGGAGTTCAAGACCAGCCTGACCAACATGGCAAAACCCTCTACTGCAAATAGAAAAAATTAGCTGAGTGTGATGGTGCCCACCTGTAATCCTAGCTACACCAGAGGCTGAGGCATGAGAATCACTTGAACCCAGGAGGTGGAAGTTGCAGTGAGCTGAGATCAAGCCACTGCACTCCAGCCTTGGCAACAGAGTGAGACTCTGTCTCAAGAAAAAAAGAAAATAAAAGTCTCACAAAAACCCAGCAAATGAGTAATAAACCAAGGCATAACATTGTGATAATTTAGCTTATTGGAGATATTAGAAAGATTTTAAACACTTCAAGATAAAAGGAAACAAAGACAAGTGTCTTCTGAGTTCTCAAAAGTGATACTGGAAGCTGTATTAATGCTTTCAAAAGTCTGAAGAAAAACAGTCACCAGGGTAGAATTTAATACCCAGCTAAACTATCAATCAAGAATAAAAATAAATTGAAACTATGTTGTAACTAAGAAGATCTCAAGTTGTTTATCTCCTATACACACCTTTCTCTGAAAACTACAAGAAGTTTTCATGAAAATGAGGAAGGAAAGTAAGAAGCACAGAAAATTCCCAAAATGGTGGCAACAAAGGATCCCAGAATAACTTAGTGTACCAAATACAGCAAGTAAGCAATCCAGATTGAAGCAAGTTAAAAAATGTGTGGCCACGGCCTCATCTTGACAGCCAGCTTTTCCTCCAGAGTAAAGTGTTAGGCACACTGAAATTAAAGAAACAATCACTTTATTGGTGACATGCATCATGATGACAGTGAATGGTTAATACTAAATGACAAGATAACAAGGAATTATGTTCCTATCAGAAACATTCACATCAAAGCCTAGTGTCTCTGCTTTATTTAGTGTCCTGGCAAGAGCTATATAGCTTTGCTATAAACTACAATGCAGAAGAAAACACAAATCCACCAAGATGAAATAAATTCTTGAGTGTACACAGTTGCTTATATATGCATGGAATATTTCTGAGGGATTTCTTACAAGCTGGTAGCAATATTTACGGGTGGCTAGGTGAGAAGAGGTTGACTTAAGACTTAATTTTCACAATTTAACCCTTTGATCCTTTTAAAAATATATAATATGTTCTTCTATTGCCTACTACAGAATAAAATACATTTCCTAAAAAATATTATAAATACACATACTTTGGCTCCAGTTATTTGCTTCTAGGGATTTACCTAACAAATATTCCCAAACATGGACGTGATGACATGGATGGGAGATTATTCATTGAAATATTGCTTGTAATACCATAAGACTGGCAACACTAAAAATAATTATCAATAGAGCAAGAGTGAAATAAAATGGAAGCACTACATGAAAGAAATAAGAGCAGGCATATAAGTAACCTCGATAAATGTCAATGAATTAAACACCAATTTCCAACAAACATGACAAGATGCTCAATGACATTAATTGGGGAGATATCGCATAAAATATCAATGAGGTACATTTTCATAACTATCAGATTGACAGAGTCTTATAATGTATTCATTATGATATGAGTAAACAGAAACTCTAATTTTACCTGAGGTTGCCAGTCTTTTGCTGTCAGAATCTATATATACCCACATTTTCAGCCAGGGCATTTAATACTGTTCAACATGAGATGTCAAAAATGCCCAGTCTTCTTCCCATGAATCCCTCAGACACCTCTGACCTTCACCATTCCAAGAAGTCTCTCTGGAAATGCCAGGCGTCATCCTCACTCTCTGTGCCCTGTGGCTCCCCTGCATCTTGTTCTGAAACACCGTGCTGCGTGCACAGCCCACAGGCCTGATCCCTGCTGGTTCATCTACTCTTTTCTTCATTCTTTTGGCATTGGAACTTTTTTCTCCTCATCTTTAATTAGTGAAATCTACTGCATATTGTGCACTACAGTTTTGGTTTGTTTCTGTCCACCTTCAGTGGTTGCTCTGATATGACTTTTTTTTTGAGACAGAATCTCGCTCTGTTGCCAGGCTGGAGTGCAGTGGCGCAATCTCGGCTCCCTGCCACCTCCGCCTCCCGGGTTGAAGTGATTCTCCTGCCTCAGCCTCCTGAGTATCTGGGATTACAGGTGCGTGCCACCATGCCTGGCTAATTTTTTTGTATTTTTAGTACAGACAGGGTTTCACCACGTTGGTAAAACTCCTGACCTCGTGATAATGACCTCGTGATCCAAACTCCTGACATCCGCTCGCCTCAGTCACCCAAAATGCTGAGATTACAGGCGTGAACCACCACACCCGGCCTGCTATGACTTTCCTGATTCTGCACTTGGTGCTTATAGATGACAGCAGCTTGACAATGAGGTTTGTGGGAGATGAAGTGAGAAGGAGAGAGGATGCAGAGATCTAACATTTATTGAGCTGCAACCACATATCTGTCATCATATAAAATTTATTTTATTTCATCCTTCAAATAACTTTGAGAGGAAGATAATATTATATTTCCCCTTTTTACAGATGAGGAAATAGGTTCTTGCTTATGTTTTTTTTCTTTCTTTTCTTAATTGTGTGATTTACTGGGCAGGAGGACAAAGAGGATTCAGAGCAAGGGCAGCACTTCTCAGTCAGCATTTTAAGAGATTATACTTGAAGAAAAAGGAAAACACTTTTGTAGTTAAATACAGTTTATGCAACCTAGCCCCCTCCACTGTCACGTCACTGACCTTTCTCCTATATTTCTCCCTATCCTGGATCTACCAACTGTGCTGGCCATCTTGGTTTCCTCACATGCTCCAGAAATGTCCCTTCCTCAGGGCCTTTGCACTTGCTGCTTCCCTCACCTGAATGTCTTTTCCCCTAGGGGATCCTTTGCTCACCTCCTTCAGGTCTTTGCTCAAACATCACCTTAGAGTAACCACTAAGCACTCAACTTAAAATGGCAACTCCTGCTAGGTGTGGTGGCACTTATCCATAGTCCCAGCCATTTGGGAGGCTGAAGTGGGAGGGTTGCTTGAGCCCAGGGGTTTGAGGTTGCAGTGAGCCATGATTGCACCACTGCACTCCAATCTCGTGACAGAGTGAGACCCTATCTCAAAAATTTTCTTAAAGGGTGATTCCCCATCAGAACGTTCCTATCCTTCTCTGTGTTTCTCCATTGTACTAATCATGATTTGATACATCAGATTTTTATTTATTTACTGTGCACTGTCTTTCCCACTAGCATGTAAATTCCACAGGGCAGAGACTTATCTGACTGTTCCCTCTCTGTACCTAGACCATTTCCTGACATATTGTAGATGTTTCATTAATGTTTATTGAATAAAATTAAGTGAAGTGAATTAATAAAGTTTAGGAAATTTTGAGTTCCTCAGAGTCAGCCAGATTTTTTTTATCTGCAAGAGGAAGAGCCTTTAGTATTCCTGTAAGTATTTCAATCACCAAGAATAGAATCTAGCATGCACAATTTCCCAAACTCATGTGAACATACAACCTTCTTTCCGTGGAACAGGTTAGAAGTGCTTGTGCTCACGCTTTGGGAAATGCTTCTTTAAGCTTTCAAGCACTTATGCATAAATGGAAACAGAATTGTAAGAGCAGATTTTGATGAAAAGGAAAAAGGGGAGGACACTGGAATTCAACGTGTCTAAAGTGAAGTGAGACAGTCATTTCACTCAGGCATTCATTTATTTGTTCAGCAATTATTTCTTGAGTGCACCTGATGGGCCACACACCCTCCAGACATAGAGACTAGGTAGAGATCAACAGAAGCTGAGGTCTCGGCTTCACAGCCCTAGCTTTGCTGACTGCTTTTAATCCTATGAAATTCAGAGGAAGATTATTCCAAGCCTGTGCCCATCTCCTTTGAAGACTTTTCTGATTAGAAAGATACAGAAATGTAATTAACCCCTGGATGAGGGTGCTGCATGCAAATTTGTGAGGCAACAGGAGGTATGGATTTCTCTCCTGATCTGATTTAATCCCTTCAGGATTCACACCATAATCAATATTCTGCCACCCGGAAGGCGTGACTGAATGAACCCAGACAAGCACCATCGACAGCCTTGCACTCTTTTATCATGTCTTCTTTTGGAGCAAGGGAGAGGATCATAGTGCAAAAGGGAGGAGGCTGACTGGAAGATGAATTGGCAGGAGGTTGCTTTATCATCTCCAGGAGCCAATAAAAATAATTAATTAATTTCATTTTGGAAAAAAAAAAATCCTCTCTTCCTGATAAACAGAACAGGGCAACAACATATTGTTCAGTGAGTTATGGTGGCTAAAATCTCACTCTGAAAATTATTTGTCATGGCAACGGGTGAGTGTCACCCCTGAAGCCAGCAGCCTGAAGCAGATAGATTGTTTCAATTATCTAATTTTCACAATGAATGAACTCTGCTTATAGGAAATCCATAGGTGGTTGGCAGTGGGAAATGGCGGCTGTGACAAGTTCAGAGTTGGGAGATCTACATCCTCTCTCAAAACGTAGAACAGGACTGTAATTTTCTGCAAATATTCACAGAAGTAAAAGGAAGAAGAGCAAGAGAAAGAGGGAAACTCATAAAACTTCACTTTTTGTCTTTACTCCTGGCTCTGCATTTTCTTTCCAAATTGTCCACTCTCTGTCTGGTTCAGAGAAAGCTACAGGTAGGCCTTTGCTCTCACTGTCTAACTGTGTCTCTTCCCTCTTCTCTCTGTGTCTCTCACGGTCCTTTGAAAGTTATACACATGTGGCCAGAAAATGTCTGCCTTGGCCTCAATAGAAACTGCTATTTTACACAGTAAATTTCACATTAAATGTTTGGTAAAATTGTGTATAAAGCTCTATACCAAATGAAAAATTCAGTTACCCTTCATTTAGGTAACCTCTCTTCTCTGTGTTTTCTTCTGACATAGTCGGTTGTCTAGAGCGTATTTAGGGGACCAAAGGTGTCATTAATTTTCTGCCTTACCCAGATAGATGTTTTTGGTATAAATGAAGCCAGGAAAGAGGCAGGACTTGTGGATGGTGCACTCTCATCTTCCAGCCCACCCCTCAGGGTCCTTTGACTCACTGGCATAGTCCTTTGCTCCTTCCCACTCTCTTAGCCCAAATAGGGTTGATACAGCTCTAGTTTTTTGTCTCCCTTTCTCCTATTCCAGTTTCTGTACCTTAGTCTCACCAGTCCCTACATATCCTGTTTGTGATTTTTTGAGGGAGGCGATTTCAACCAGAATGACTACCAAGAAATGACTTTCCCAAAGTAATGGGCTTTTATGGTGAAATGTCAGATGCAAAGAGAGTTTGAAAATGTGTTAACATTGAGTGGGGTTTCATTGTAACCAGTGAGGGTGAGGCACAAAGCTTACAATCACACTGTATGCAATCAACCTTTCCAACCAAGCCTGCTTTTTAGTATGACCCTCAGCCCCGAAGGAAATCACCGCCCAGACTACATCTTACACTTTCCTGAGATTCTCAATGCATTCAGAGCTTGACCCCAGTGGGGAAAAAAAAAAAAAAAAAAAAAAAACTCATTCTCTGCACTAATTTTTTCCTAATAATTCTCTGCACTGATTTTTTTCAGGTGGATTTAAAAAAAGAAGAATTTGATTTTAGTGTAAACTCATTTTGGGTAGGGCTAACATTGATTAAGTTGGTTTGTTTTCAAAATAATGCTTATTGAATCCCAAAAATGAACGGACACTTAGGCCTTCAGTTATGCATCACTTCAATACCCTTGTTTGGAAAGTTCAGTTTACAAAGCAAAACTCAAAACTGATTTACTGTTTAATAAACTGGAAGAACACTCAAGGAAACGATTGCCCAAAGTCTGCTGGCTGGTGTACGCTGGATGCATCTTCAGAAAATCTAGAGCCATATTTTCTTCCAAAGACCCTGACACGTAAGAGAAGCTGTAATCATCAGTGTATCAAATTTTGGCCTCATGAGAATTTCTAATCAGTCTCTTCCCTTCAATATTTGTTCAAAGAGCTTATGTCTTCAGTTTAATAGTTTAAACTCTAACGATCAAATCAGTAAGTGTTTATTTTGTAAATTGGTAAGAGGGAAGGCATAGACAGACTCGACCTTTCACTGATATTTTGTTTACAGTGATTAAAAAAAATGCCATCAGGAGAGCCAGAGAGTCTTTTGACTTTTTTTTTTTTTTTTTTTTTTTGAGACAGAGTCTTGCTCTGTAGCCCAGGCTGAAGTGCAATGGCTCAATCTTGGCTCACTGCAACCTCCACCTCCCAGATTCAAGTGATTCTCCCACCCCAGCCTCTCGAGTAGCTGGTACTACAGGCGTATGCCACCACGCCCGGCTAATTTTTGTATTTTTAGTAGAGATGGGGTTTCAACCATGTTGGCCAGGTTAGTCTCAAACTCGTGACCTCAAGTGATTCGCCTGCCTCGGCCTCCCAAAGTGCTGGGATTACAGGCGTGAGCCATCGTACCCAGCCCCGAAAGTCTTTTTTCCTATCAGGGACATAGCATTTATTAATGAGAGGTTGAGGATTGGTTTTTTTGTTGTTTTAAAGGAGAAGATATTGAAGTAGAATTCTTAGATGTTCTGTATCATTGTCCCTTTCCTTATGATGCATTGAGATTTTGATGAATTCTTTGCCACAGAATCAGTATATTTGATGGGTATCGGTATTAAACATGCTACAGTATTTGTGAGACACTTCGGGAATAAATGCAGTTGCACTCCTCTAGAGAGTCAGCGTCAAGTAAGAAGTCTGGAGAGTCAAGGGTAAGATGTTTTAAATTTTCACAAATCCCACCTCTGGGTATTTCTACAGAATAATTGCAATAGGAATCTTGAGAAGATATTGACAGTCCCATATTCACTGTAACACAATTTACAATAAGCAAGATATGAAAACATTGATGAATGAATGGATGAAGAAAATGTTGTATATACATACAATGGAACACTATGCAACCTTAGAAAAGGAAGGAAATTCTGCTATGTGCAACAATATGGATGAACCTTGAGGATATTACGCTAAGTAAAATAAGCCAGTCACAAGAATACCAAGCGTGCATGATTTCACTTACATGAAGTGTCTCAAATGGTCAAATTCATAGAATCAAAGAGTAGACTATTGGTGACAAAGGCCTAGGAATAGAAGAAAATGGAGAGTCACTAATCAATGGATAAAAAGTCTGAAACAACATGAATAAGCCCTAGACATCTGCTGTACAACATTATACCTATAGTCAACTCAACTTATATATTTGTTGAGGATAGATCTCATGCTGTGTTCTTATCAAAATAAAATAAAACATGGTATAATGAAATATATGAGAAGTCTTCACAGAATTTGGAATGATATCTCTATAAAACAATGGGCTTACTCTTGACTTCACATGACAGTAGCAGTAAGGGAAATGTTAGATGAAGGCACAGTTGGTATATCCATCAGACTTCTATTTATACTTTTATTCCCAAAGTATGTTATTTTACATTCTTAAGTTCTATGGCTTCAGGAAATTCCAGAGGCCTGACTTCTTGTAAATTCCAACAACCACTATATTTTCAATGCTGATTAATTTATAAATATTTCCACTTAGCCTTCAAAGTTATACAAGCCAAGACAAGAAGTTGAATTAGGCTTGGTCTGACTCTCTTAGAGCTATATATAAAGAGTGACAGCTATTCTACAGAGAGACCTATCAGGATACTACAGATTTTTAAAACTGAAGATTTGAAAGCTTTCATTAAAACAGGCTTTGAGCACAGGCTCAGACTACTAGGCAGGGCAATCAGAGATCCAATTTAGAACAACGGGTCTGAGGTCAGGTTGCAAGGGCCAAACCTGGGTTAGGACACGAAATACATGCTCAGCTGTGGGGCAGCAGCCAGCAAGCCCATCGAGCAGTATGAACACCCAGCAAAGCTGTGCCCGTTTACCTGAGGGCTGAAACTGGATATCCCATACAGTGGCTTTAAAAATAAAGGTAAATAAAATTGATAGAGGGCACAAGATGCCATTTTTTAATTCATTCAATAAATATTTATAACACCTCTTAAGTGTCAGGCACTCTGTTAGGTGCTAAGGATATAGTGGTATATAAAACAGCCTTGATTATTGCTCAACTGAGTTTATAAACCAGAAGGAAGGCAGGCTTTAAAAAAATCTCAAGTAAAATATACACTAGCAAACAGTCCTCATCTTAAGTCCTAAGTATGAATGTATATTTTTATTTTAATCAGGGAGACTTTCTGGGGATGCAACTTTAAACTGAGACCTGAAGGGAAAATATAGGTGAGACAGAGACAGAGGAAGACAGTGAAGGCAGAGGTGTGAGATAGCATGTGCAGAGGCTGCAGCAGTGAGGGAAGAGCCCGCTGAGTCCCAGGGTTTTCTGGAAGTCCAGCATGGCTAGATAACAGTAAGTAATGGAGCAACAGAGCCACAGACATGAGACCAGGGACACTGCTGGGCCCCTTAGGAGCCATGGTAGGATTTTGGATTTTATACAAAGTGCAATAGAAAGTCATTGGAAGGTTTCAACCACGGAATCAATTGCTTAAGATAGCATTTGTTTCAAAAGTGCACCATGGCTTTCTAAATTGGAGCAGAAAGGGGAAGCATAAAGAGCAGTGAGATTTCTGCGTGGTCATTTGAGAGTTAAGAGTGGTGGTTTGGCAGGTCCAGTGGGGATGGAGAGAAATTAGTGGAAGTTTTGTTTTGTTTTCCAACTGCCCTCTGCTATGGCAGAGAGGTGAAGCCCACCAACACTGTTTCTAGTACCACCTTGGGTAACTAGCCCAATTTCTGTCACCTAGTTCCATCTAATTGGCCCATCAATATCAGAAAAGAGAACTCAAGACCACGCTAGCAGTTACTTAGATTAGTAATCCTCAGAGAAGCTTTAATAACCAAGATTCACTTGAAAAACTGTACCTTTATTTCTTTTTAAGCTAAAAGGCTGTTTATGGTGAGCAAAGCAAAATCATTGCACGCTGCTAATTCTTTTTGCATTTGTTTGTCAGGAGACTTCTGAAATACTAGAGCCAAACATACTGGAACTGACCTAACCACAGGAAAAGCAATGTTGCTGAATTGAAAGCCTGCAAGAAATTCGTCATTTATTATTAATGTCACCATGAGCACTGAAGGCTTTGATATGGATGCTGGAGATACCTGCCTGCTTTCAGGCAGGCACGACAATCTCACACCCTCTTTCCTTTTGCCTAAGAGCATTTAATTCATGGGGAAGAAAGCATTTTCTGCAGCTTGCCCTCCAGACCATCACAATAACAGAAGTTTTGAATGCAGAAACCAAATTATTTCAAAGGGGGTATAAAATCTGCTCTCAGTGAAATCTGGAAAATCACAAGATTTAGTAGAAACAGGGCCTGAAGAAAGACATAAGTTCATGAGCAGGATTGCAGGGCACAGCCCATGTCACTTACATGTGAAAATCATGTTTGTTGTCTAACCCCAAAGTGCTTCATTCTTTACCTTACTTCCAAGTGCCCCAAAAGGCAGAAAATTTTTAGGACTTTGATGGTTGTTTCCAGTTCTTAGTTGCCATACGCAGGATTATGTACAACGAGATCACATCAAGTAGCTCAGCTAACGCTGGGGACCTCTTGATGACTCTGGCAAATCAAGGATGGAGTGGGACATGGAATGGCCAGAGCCATCACTCAGGACTTCGTACAAAGACTACAGTACAAAAACTACAGACTACAGAGTGCACACTGGGAAAACAGAGACACATCACTGTCCTTATCTTGCCAGCAATTCATTCAAACTACTTTGCTTCATAAGCTCCCATGCCCAGTCTGCTAGGTCTTCCCACTGCCACAGAGAATATTTATTCCTATAAAACAGAGTTAAAAGGGGCTCTCTTCATTCACTCCTTGCATTGGCTGTATAACATTTATTCATTCATGATTGACTTAACAAATATTTGAATGCTGGACACCAGGCTCCTTAGACAAGTTACTTAACCTCTCTGAGCTCCAGAGGTCTTATATGTAGATTGGAGATCATAACCCCATTACCAGGTGATTGTGACAATTAAGGAGGTAATATTTTTAAAGCACCGAGCACAGTGTCTGGCAATCAGTAGCTGCTCCATTTTTTCCCTTTCTCTTGACTTGCACCTGCACCTGTCACTCCTTCAGCATGTTTTTTTTCTTGTTCCTGAACTTATGCCCTCCTTAGAAAAACAGGCAGCTGCATAAGGCTTGGAGCTGCCAGGAGGGAGTCTGTATCGAATATTCAAGAGCCATCACTGTGCTCAGGGGAGAATAAATAGGAAACCCAAGGAATTCTCTGTAGTCTCAGATAAACATGGGACTCGACTGGCCTGGTAACACATCTCCATGATGGCGAGATGCAACTATGTCCCCTTTTCTGTGCTGATGCTGTTGTAATTTCTAATTGATGGCTTTTGGGAGGTCAGGAAAATCTTGTTGCTTTCCTGTGGGCACAAAAATTGGACATGTTCTGTGCTCTTAAAGGGAAGAGCTTTCTTGGCTGACTTCTGGATTGCCTACAAAGGCACAGTACTCTGAGGGGCAGAGGCTCTTGTTATTTGTAAAAGTACCTCAAAATATCAAGCAAGGCAGACCACACAGCAATTGAGAGAAATAAAATATTCATCAGAGGACATTACTGGGAAGGAAACAGCACAGTTAATTTCACAAAAACTCCATCATAATAGAGGCACAAAATTAATCACGCAATAGTGTTATGACTCCTGAGCCTCAAAGCCAACATAAAATAATTGAGGGAAAAAAAGAGAAAATAAAACAAACATGTGCCCTGCATATAGAGCATAGATGACTGGAAGGTGATTTTAAACTATCTGCAAATTCCAGCAATGCAGAATCATGACTAGAGTTCTCTCATTTACTTAGGAAGACAAATTTTAACACATTTCACTAATGTTAATGCCAGTAGTCATATCTTGTTTGAATATACTTGACGGAAGTTTTACTGAAATAGAAAGAAAGAGCAAAAGCCTGGCAAAAAATGAGTTAGCTGTGCTAGCCCTGGGTGCAAATTTTGCAGACTTCATAACCCACATGTTTTCCAAATACAGTGCTTGGTAAGTCTAATTTTTCATTCCTCATGGCAGGGATCATTAAGAAAAACTTTACCAAACAAGGTCCTGCACTACAGAATGTAGGGCCTAACATGGAGTGGCTAAAACTAAGGGAGTAGCTACCATTTCTTAAGCATCTACTCTCTGCTAGGCCCCACACAGGGTACTTAGTATATGTTACCTCCTGAGCCACCTGTGTGAAAGACTTTGAGGAGCAGCAAAGTGAGCAGGCAGGAGAAATTGCCAAAGAGTCAGAAACCTCAGGTTTAAGTCCTACCTTTGAAAAATCACTATGTGATATTGAACAAGTCACGCAATCTTTCTGTGCCTCAGCCACCCCGGCTATGAAATGGGGGAAATGATCCTTCTTGTGCCTGCCTCAAATGGTGTGTGAGAGAACAAAATAAAATCAATAAACCATACAAAACAAATGTAATGCAAATCCCAAGGGTTTTTTTTTTTCCTTTTGTTTTATTTTGCTTTTGGAATCCTTTGAACTTAAAATTCGGATCAAAAGAATAAATGAATTCTCTAAACCTGTGGAAAGATGGCCTCAGCCTCCTGCCACAGTTATTTGCAGGGTCTAGGGGATTAAATTGCTCCTGCTTTTATGATTGATCTGACCTCGCAGAGCTCCTCATTATGCATACCTTGCTCTCATTATGATGCTCGTGAAATGAAGGGGAGGTTAAGAAAGTGGTTTTGTTTTGTTTTGGTTTGGTTTTCTGCAGGAAGCTTGGAGTCTCTCCAGGTATTTAAAGAGATTGGATTTGTGAGCTAAAACTCATCTATTTTTCCAACTCCAGCAACACCCACGTACTCTCACATCTTTATATTTCAAAATGTGATAGTAGCCAAATCATTTGCTTCTGCATTTTCCCTCTTCAGTGAAACCCAGGTCCGCTTGCCCCCCTCATTTCAAGTGCTCCATAGGGGCTCATCTGTGTGAACTCCTATAGGTGTTTGGCAACCAGAGGTATGAGATAGAGGCCTGCAATCATCTGACATCACTGCCTAGATAAGGATTATGTGACACAAATGATATTATCCCACCCTTTTGTGGAATCTGAACATTTTAGTTTCCAAATAAACCTTCCCAGTTACTCAGTCTGACACCCTGGATTTGTGGATGAGAAAAAATTGGCCCAAGGAGATTCAAAAGCTCATCTGACATCTGGACCTGGAAAGTGTGTCACTTGCCTCTTTTTTCTCCCTGCCTAAGTCAGGAGTCTTCCAACTGGGTAACAAGGAGCAGGACAAGAGCTTGCTTCTTATAGCTGCTGAGAGAAGTAGTAGGAAGACTCTGAAAGCCGAGTTACAAATCCAGAAACAAGAACACCCAGGGGGCATGAGGATGCTTTCCGTGTTCCCCTAACAGACTCTATAAGAAAGAGACAATGAAATATATATGATCTCATGACAAATTTGTGTATTTTTGCTCATATAACCAAACACATAAGACGTAAGTCATGTGATGTAGAACTCAAAGAATCAGAAAGCATTAGGGAAACAGGCATTGTGTGTCAGTAGTCAAGAAATGTGATGTTTACATACATAACCAAAACAGTGATCTAAGTATTATTCCTTATTTAATTCCTATTACATAATGGTTGAAAATTAAAGACTGTGATAAGAGAATCACTTAACAAAATGTAAAAATTTTACACAAAAAACACATTTTCAGTAACATGTAATCAAAAACATGTAATCAAAATAAATTTATTTTGATTTATTTTTAATGAATGATTTTTATCTCAAAGTAACCCATTTACATAGTTAGAAAATATCAAATAATAAAAGCTTAAGTTGAAAAGCAAATCTCACATTACCTCTTCCTCTTCCCTACTTCCTCATACATGAGGCAACTACCTTTACCTTTTTCAGTTGTTTTTATTAATAATAATTATATCACCAACTAATAGTCTTAATCAATATTTCTTGGTTTATCACTTAACTAACAACTTTTGAAATTGGTTGTATTTTGTGTTTTTATTGTCATCAGGTAAACAATTAGATATTTGATTAAAGAAAATTGAATGGGTTTCCTGTCTATAGGGCTTTGACGACTTTGAAGGCCATGGAAATTCACTGAAGAAATAAAAGTTAGCTGATAAGCACTGATATATCTAGGTGGTAGGTAATGGGTCATGTTATTTATTTGTTTGTTCATGTATTTACTTATTTAGCTGTATGATTTAATGTTTTTTTCCAAGTTTCTTATATAGAGTATGTTACTGCTAAAATTAGGAAAACCTATATATCTTCTCTTTTCTGCTGTTCATTAAGAGAGGGATCTCACTATGTTTCTGGACTCAAACTCCTGGGCTCAAATGATCCTGCCTCAGCCTGCCAAGCATCTGGGACTACAGGCACATGCTACCCCACTTGACTTAGAAAAACATATCTTAAAATTTAGAAAGACATATGGTTAGAAATGGTGAAATAAAGAACATATACCACCAAGTGAAAACACCACGATGAGAGAAAAAGAGTTCCATCTTCATTAAAGTTAGAAAATATCCACAATCCATATGTTAAATGTATACAGTCTATGGAAGACACAAGGATAAAACATGATAACATGTACCTTTATGTTCTCGCATGACAGAAAACCTTTAACATTATGTAGCAAGGACTTGAAGAGTCCAAAGTACAATTCCCTTATTTAGGAGAGCAAGGTCAAGGGTTTGAGGAGCTATTGACCCAGCACTGAATTCTCACCCCTGTAAGGTTTAGGCAAGAGGAACAAATGAGGAAATCTGCAGGCATCTATCTGCTCAAGGGGCCAGATTCTAGGGTGGCCTGGGTAGGTTTTCTGCCTTGCAGCTGCCTCTTACAATCAGCTGAAGGAAAATAAACACATAAAATACTGAAGGGAGAGAAAGAGAAAGAAAAGAAAGAGAGAGAGACTTGTGACATACAGGACTGAACAATTTGGCACAGGGATTCCTGACTCCTCAAGGGCCCTGCTAGCCTCACTCTGAGAGCACAGAGCACATACACCCTGGGGCAGAGTTGGTGAGGTGCTTAGAAACAACAAGCCTGGATGAACCTGCCTTTCTGCTGGTTCATTTCCCCAGCCTGTATCATATCTGCTCCAACAGCTAGCCCCAAAATGAGCACCACAAATATAATTTATAATCCATTAGGGTTCAGTATAGACAACAAGTAAAAAGAATGAAAATAATAATAACAAACAGAAGGCATATAAAGACTGCTCTTCAAGGTCATACCAGGAAGCAGGGGAACATTTAAAAGATTTTTATGACATTCTATAAATTATAGAAAGTATAACCTCATTGAAATCAGAATATAAATGAAAGATAAACCAATCAAAAAAAGAAATATAAGGTGTAGTAAGGAAATGAATACGAAGCTGGCAGATATCAGTAAATAAATGGAAGGTATAATAAAAAATCATGGAAATGAAAACAATTTGTAGTCAGTATGAAGTAGAATTGAACCCACTGAAAACAGCCAAGGGACATTTGAAACAGGCTTTGGACAACTAAAATGAGAAACATGAAATTGGAAAAAGAATTCATAAGTTTAAGAAGGATAATATATGTAGAACATGGGATCCAGTATATACATAATAGGTGTTTTTGAAGTAAAAGGAAACAGAACAATAAAAGAAAAAAATGTCCAAAGATACAATAAAAGAAACAATTTCTGAACTAAAGAAATCAATCTGAATACATTTTTTCTTTCATCAATAATGAAACAACTGACAGGGAAAGGGATAAAGTGATGCCCCTGATTATGCAGGGTTTTAAAGATGCAGCCGAGGAAGCAGGAATGTCTGTAACTTGTGGCCAAACAGTGCTAACCTCCTGGATTGTTTTGGGAGGAGTCACTACAACTACAGGCCAATCAATTTATCATGCCAGACAATACAGCGCCAGGGGATGTGCTGGAGTCCACAAAACCCCTGGGGGCACAAGTGGAGTGGCTGTGCACGACTGTCACTTGTATCAAATAGCAGTGGCTGGATATTCCTGAAAAATGAAATAAACTAGTGGTCACCCACGAAGATGTAGAGTTGACATACCAAGAAGCAATAATGAACATGGTGAAGTTCAACAGGAAAGCTTCATCATGTACACGTTCAGTGCCCATGCAGCCACGGACATCGTGGGCATTAGGATTTGGGGTCATACACAGAACCTGACCAAGCAGCTGAGGAATGGTTTTTTGCAATTCACAACGGTCCCTGTGCTGGCCAAGATGACTGTGATGAGCAAGGCCTGTGGAAACATGTTCAGCCTCATGCAGGGAACATGTCCAGAGACAGCAGGAGGCATTCTGATCTGTTTACCACATGAGCAAGCAGCTTGGTTCTGTGCAGAGATAAACTCCCCCAAATGTGGTGGAGGCCACCAAGCATGGATTATTGGGATTGCAGAGAAGGGCAGCCATGCAGCTGGAATCATAGACCAACCCTGGATCATTGAGGTTGCCCGAGTAGCCACTCAAAATGTGAATCCCACACCTGGGGCCACTTCTTAATCTAGACAGAAATAGCTTTTTGGTTTTGTTTTAAAATAGATCTATTTCCTTTATCATCGCTTCCATTAAAGACTATAAACAATAAAAATCTCATTGTGTCTACACATCTGGTGACCCTAAGTCAATTTGTGAGTGGATACATCAACAAAATAAAATCCATTGTCTTTTTTTCCTGTTACATTAACTGAAATTGCCCCTAATCTTGAGTCAGCTTCTGAGTTGAGAATTATATTGTTACCTGATACTGTTGATTCATTTTGAATCTCTAGACACTTATCTCTTACACATAGGTGCTCTCTTTTTAAAAGTGCTTTCACATAGGACAGACATTACCAA
Source organism: Homo sapiens (assembly GCF_000001405.40). Classification (NCBI taxonomy): domain Eukaryota; kingdom Metazoa; phylum Chordata; class Mammalia; order Primates; family Hominidae; genus Homo; species Homo sapiens. The sequence continues at coordinate 114,259,709 of NC_000002.12, read as the reverse complement.
TAGCAATGTCAAATGGCAGTTGATGTCTTTTCATTTTATGTTTATTTATCAGGTAAGTCATGGTTTTTTAAGTGTCTTGAATGGTTTTCTGGAAAGACAGCGTTGGTGAGTGGCACACGACGGTATCCCAGTCATAAGAGGGTTACATGATTACTTCTAGTCTTTGAATTGAAAAGCCTTGTCTTGTCATTCAAGAGCATCTTAGACACAGGACATTCAGTTCAACACAGCAAGTACTTCACTGCATGAAAAACACTTTGAAAAAATGAAATTGTATTTCTTTTTCTGTAGCCTTCCTTGTATTTACAGTAATACCATTAATGGTTTCCTTTATCAATAGAAAAAAAGGATACTTTTTGCAATATAATGTCATTAGACATTTCATAATGCAACAAAGAATTCCCTTCAAAAAGGAGGTTCATGTATAATACTCATTTACAATTCAATGTATAATTAACTATGCAAATAATTTTAAACATAATTAATAATAAAGACTGTTCTATGGACGGTAGTGTTTAATACATTTTATATTTTTATAGTGATTTCAGGCCTTTTGTTTTCTTAAATGCAGCAGCTGTATTTAGTCTAATTCTTAGCATTGTTTAGTCCTTTGCACTAGTACTTTTTTTGTGCACATTTTCTGTGATCCATGTTAAAAATCTGCATTGCCAAAATTGCAGCTAAAATGTAAGCTTATTATTCAAATAAATATATACTTCTTTAAATTGCTCTGGTATAATCAGATGCCCTTTCAGTATTATTTTAGAAACATTGGAAGGGTTTTGCTTGAAGTACTATTTGCTGGGAGAAACTAGATTTTAGTTTTTTAAAACTCTTAAATCTTTCATGGGACCTATATTTTCTTGAATTTTATAGTTCTAGAATAAATAAGTAATCTAAAAAGGTTATCTGTGTTACTTAAAAAGAGGCTTTCTTATATCCTAACCTACTAAACAATGAGGAGGAATTCCTGTCATTAAGCATAAGGGCACTGGATTCTCAGGTGTCTGTCTTCATAAGAGAAAAAGCAGAGCATCCTGCAAGTTTCAGACACTTCCTGCTCACAGGCACGAAAGCCACATGTGTAAACTGACCAACTTCTTGCCAAAGGAAACCACCCCTGGGAAAACGAAGCTCCCTGGAAGAGGCGTTCACTTGGACACGCCGTGCTCCAGGAACCAGTGGGCAGCCTTTATACATGTGTGACCAGACCACCAGCCATAGTATGGTGTGCAGTACTGAACAGCCTGCTATGTAACTGAAACTAATTGGACATTTTATAGGAATTGATAGAGATGTTGGTCCTCAAAAGCTTAAAATCAGTTATCTGCAAAATAAAATGTGTTGGAAACCTCTGAAAGAAAAGAATTTTTTCTTCTACCATATTTTGGAACATTATTCTTTCATTTTAAGTATACATATGTATAAAAATGTCCAGGAAAATGCCATAAAATAATTAACAGGGAGATATACACATTTGAAGATGTTACCAAACTTCAAGGATCAACAAAAGATTCCTAAGGAGGGTCCATCTGGGAAAAGAAAAAGTTCTGTTCAAAAATCAATTCTTCTAGAAGAAATGGAATAATATATATACAGTATACAAACACGTATATAACTAAAGACATATAAAATAGTCTTGAGTGATAACATACAAAGCCGATAGCATTAGTTACTTCTTTTTAAACATACAAAGCTGATAACATTAGTTACTTTTTTTAAAAATGTACTGGAATTTGGAAGATACTCAAAGACATTGATCTTCTTTAAAATTTTAATTCTTAAAATAGAATATGAAACAATATTAATAACCACCACCACAACAAGAATAACAATGATGAAGCAACTTCTACCAAGTTATCAGGACAAGACAGTGTGATCCAAGTTGTTTTTTAAGTAGAAAGGAGCAAACCCCATATTCAAATATGCAAGGCCTAAACCACCTCATGAAATAATTTTGATAAGCAAGAAGTGACTGGAGAAGCCATGACTTTTTTAAAAATTGGTAGTAAGCAACCAATCTATTATAACATTGTTAGACAATTGTGAAAAATGGTTATAGAACAGAATTTCATGCTGTAAACCATGAAGAGATACTGGGGAGAAGTCAACATTTTTTTTATACTGAACTGGACTCAAGGAGGAATATGGTGGGTAAATTCTTATGTATGTAACATTAATAAATGTGAACGATGTCTAAGAATTTAAATTATGCCAAAAAAAAGAAACGCGTTTTTAATGGCTTTCTCAGATTAGAGTCTCCCAGGAAGGTTGAAGGATCTTTCAGAGAGATTCCAACGTTAAACAAACCACAGAATAAATTAATAGAAAGCTAGTATCAGCTCATAGATGGCATGGCAGATTATATTATTCTTAAAAAGCATTTATTATTCCCCATCCCCTAACTGCATATACTACCCCATTTCATTAATGTAGGATTTGACCATGTGACTTTGTTTACTCCATGTAACATTAGCGGACTTGACACAATCAGGGTCTTCCAATGGGATTACAAGGTTGATGCATTCTCTCTTGGCTCTGCCATTATTATTACAAGAAGAACAGGAAGCTGATCATCCCTCATCTTTAGTCCCAAAAGTAAAAATAAAATGAGTGTTAAGAGACAGAGAAGACAAGCCACACAGACTGGGAGAAAATATTTGCAAAACACATGCCTGATAAAGGACTTATATCTAAACTGTATTAAAAACTCAACATTTAATTAAAAAAAATTTTTAAGTGAGCAAAAGATCTGAAGACACATCTCAACAAAGATCCACAAGTGACAAATCACCTAATAAAAGGATTCTCAATATATTTCATCAATAGGAAACTGAAAATTAAAACAACAATGAGATATCTCTAAACACCTATTAGCATAGCTCAAAAAAATTGGCAATACCAAATGTTTGCAAGAATGCAGAGCAATGGGAACTGTCATCTTCATTGCTGGTGATAATGCAAAAGGCTACAGCCACTTTGGAAGACAATTTAGTAGTTTCTTACATAGATAACATAGTCTTACCATGCAATCCACCAATTGCTTCTAGTTGTTGATACTAATGAGTTGAAAATGCATATCTACACAAAAATGTGCACACAAAGGTTTATAGTACTTTTATTCATAATCACCCCAAACTGAAAACAGCTAATACGCCCTTCAATAGGTGAGTGGATAAACAAACTGTGGTACCTCATACAATGGAATGCTACTCTTTGGTAAAAAAGAAACATACTATCAAACTACAAAGGACATAGAGGAATCCTAAATGCATAATGCTAAGTGAAAGAAGCCAGTACAAAAAGGCTACATAGTTTAGAATTCCAATTATATGACATCCTGGAAAGGACAAAACTATAGAGACTGTAAAACATTCATTGCTTGCTAGGGGTTTAGAGAAAGAGGAGGAGAGAAGCACAGGGAATTTTTAGGATGGTGAAACTATTTTGTATAATACTGTAATAAGGCACATGACATTATACATTTATCAAAATTCATAGAATTTTACAACACAAAGAATGAACCTTCATGTATAACAAATTTGTTAAATTATTTAGGAGGTTGGGGGATCCCAGGAAAGAATGCAGAATGTGACAGAGGAATTTAACTGTGTTACAAATGTATGAAACAGACTCACTGAAGAGGGTTAGGGAGAAAACGTGATGAAGAAAGTAGCTTTGGAAATGAGTGGAATTTGTAAGATTAAAGGTGAAAGTAACTGCACCTAGACACTGTACTCTGGCTAATAAAATTGTTTCCCATGTGGTATGGATTAACAATTCTGACACTGTTGTATGTGTACACTAATAATGAACAATTACGTAAATGGATGGTGGATGCTGGTTTTCATTGTTAAACGGAAGATTCCAAACAAGAAAGGAAAACTTATCTAGAGTGACCCATGTGGTAATGAATTAGAGTTAGAGACATACCAATTAATGATTTATTAATTGTACCTAATTGTAACAACTTATGTTTAATTTTTAATATAGATGCACTTCATTTTATATATAGAAATGTTTACAGATAATTGGACAAATATGGATTAGTATACGTAAATATTTCTTTGCTCTGTCAGCCAAGCAAGCCCATAAGAAGTGACACTGTAGGAGCACTGAGCACACACTGCAGTCAGATCTTGTTTTCTAATACTATTTTTCAATAAAGAAACAAGGCTGCTTAGACAAACGACTGATTCTAGGGTGGGGGCACAAAATATACAAAATGAGCCTGGAGCATCTTGCAGCCCATTAAGAAATGCTTGAGAAAAATGCACACACACACACACACACACACACACACACACACACAGAGATATGTCAAAGGGACACAAGAGACAAAAGGAAATAGTCAAAATTGGAACAATATAAACAATGAAATAAATAGTCTTGAATTGTAACCCCAGATATTTTAAAAATCAAAGAGCCTATACTCATATAAATAAATGATTGAATAAATTAACAAGTCGGAGAGAAGAGAAAAATCTGCCATGCAGAAGAATTCCAAATAAGTCACACAGATACTCTATCCTAAAGGAGGAAGTGCATAACTCCCCACTCAAGTGCAGGCTGCACATACTGTACCATGTGGAATCTAGGAAAAGCCTACAGTATGGAAAGCTGGAGTCAGCAAATTTATAGTAAAGAAACCTGACAAGCACTGCTTCAGCAGATGATTAAGGTAAACAATTATACGATCAACAATCATAAGTCATGTTGATAGTATGTACCCTTGATATCATTTGATGAAAATTGCACTTTATTTCTGTGATCCTGTGTACCAAAATCCATAATCTCCATCTAATAATGACAAAAACATTGGAAAGATTTTAATATAAGGGCATCCTCCAAAATATTAATACCTGACCAGTACTCCTCAAGACTGTCAAGGTCATTGAAAACAAGGGAAGCCTAAGAAACTGTCACAGCCTGTAGGAGACTAAAAAGACATAACAACTAAATGTACTATGATATCTCAGATGGGATCCTGGGACAGAAAATAGATAATACATAAAACCTAAAGAAATCGAGAAAAATTATGGATATCAATTAATAGCAACATATCAATATTGATTCAATATCTGTACCAAATGTACTGTACTAATATAATACTAGGGGAAATTATGCAGGAGGAGAGTGGTTTATGTTAAGTCTTGGTATTATTTCTGTCAATCTAAAACTATGAAGTCTATCAATTTTTTTAAAAAATATAACAACACGGGATAGGCCTGAGTCCAAATCTAAATAAGAAACCTAGCCTAGCCAGATCCATAAGCAGGAGATGAAGTTGTCCAACCAGCCTAAATCAGCTGACTCACAGAACTAGAAAGGGAATTCTGGAAATTCCTGAAACTTTTGACATAAAGAACATACAATTTCAACTTTGCTAAATACCACAAAATTGCTCTCCAAAATGATTCTACTATTTGAACACTCACCAAATGCATGAGTTTTTATTCACTCCCACTTTTGCTTCCAATTGTCAGCACAAACATTTTAATTTTGGCTACTCTAACAGGGGAGATATTTTATTTCTTTGAATCTGTATGTCACAGATTCCTAGTAAAGGTGGGCATCTGTTATCAATAGATACTCCAGTAAGTATCTCAACAGATAGAACTTTTTAAAAAATGACTTCAGTAGAGGTATTATGAAATTAACAATAAAGTTAGTTTGTTTGAATCAGGATCCAAACAAGGTTCACACATTACATTTAGATTATGTGTATCACAAGTCTCTCTTAAAATATTATAATTCTTCCTCTTTGTGTGCTATTTGTTCTTTTTCTTTAAACAACTAAATCCTTTGTCTTGTGGAATATCTAGGTTTCACTGATCAAAGCATTGTGATGTCATTTAACATGACCCTCCATCCTCATATTTTTTGTAAACTGGGAGTTAGATCTAGAGGCCTGACTAGATATGTCGTTTTTTAAACACTGTTTAGTGTCTCTGTATGCTTTCTATTGCCTTACATCAAAAGAAAAATAATGTCCCGTTTGTTCCTCTTTTAGTAATGGAAAGATTAATTAGTGAATTCAGGTCATGTCAGCCTGATCCATCTATTATAAAATTTAACATCTAGTGTTTCTTATCTAACAGTTTTAGCAACTATTAATGACCATTATCTAGACATATGAAGTTTTGCAAATGTGGTTTTCTCTATCATTTCTTCTCATTTATTAGCTGTGATTCTTTTCAAAAGATAACTTTCCTCTACCAATTATTTTGCTACTCTGACATGTAATCCATGAAAGAAAAATTACTAATCTCTCACATTTGAAATACAAACTGTCAGAACCTGGGAGATATTGCAACCACTTTTTCATCCAGTGGACAAGAAGAGCTGACTCAGGAGGTCTAGCACGGGGCTATCTTCAGCAATCAGTGCCTTTCCCAATGCAGCTGTTTGAGCACTGAATGCTTGCAGCCAACCCTTCTTGTATTCACCCTGAGTTATCTTCTTGAGGGTCTTTGTCAGGGCTTTATCTGCAGAACACCTAGACACTATCTCTGACAAACAGGCTGGGTAGAAACCATTGTAGCAGGAAGAGTGACATTACTGTCTCCTTAATTATTATTGATCAGCTTTAATTGTCTTCAAGGAAGCTTTATACTATAAGAGACTAGAAGCAACATGTGGCTACACTTGGCCCATTTTCACTCGGCATGATTTTTTCTCTACATTTTTTGGTATATATATTAGAACTGATAAAATATATGTATAATAAAATTTAAAACTCAAGCCAAAGCTTATATTAGTAGCTTCTTTCCTCTTAAGATATTTATTGCACAATATCAAGATCAACTCTAGTGAAGAAATATTTTAGCCTGAAAACACATGGATTTTGTTCAGTGCCATTAACAGGAAATATATCTTATATGTCAGTCCCTTGCTATCCATGACTGCTATGCCAAGTGCTTTAAAATATATGTTACTTTTGACTTCACAAAAACTCTGTAAGTGTGCTTTATAAGTGAATAAAATGCTCACAATCATCCAGATCATTAAGTAGTAAAACTGATATTGTAACCTAGGTCAAAATTGTTCCAAGGCCTGTGTCTTAATCCATTTGCATCGCAATAAAGAATATACCTGAGGCTGGGTAATTTATAAATAAAATAAGTTTGGCTCATGGTTCTGCAGACTGTACAAGAAGCATGGCACCAGCATCTGCTTCTGCTGAGGACCTCAACCTGCTTCCACTCATAGCAAAAGGCAAAGGGAAGTAGGCATCACGTGGTGAAAAAGAAAGGAAGAGAAAGGGAGGTGCCAGGATATTTTTAACAATCAGTTCTCATGGGTGGAGAGAAGGAAACTCTTGAGGGAGTTAACAGAGTTAGAACTCATTACTGGGAATACAGTACCAAACTACTCATGAGGGATCCACCCTCATGACCCAGACATCTTCCATTAGACCCCACCTCCAACACTGGGAATCAAATTTCAGCATGAGATTTAGAGGGGACAAATATCAAAACTTTACCAGTCTGCATACTTTTCTGTGTACTATACCACCAAAAACAATCACTGAACCTCTTTCATGCCCAAGGCACTGTAAAGAAACAGAGTAACAGGGTGGTCTCTGCCCTCTACAACCTAGGTACTTGCTACTCAGGCTGTAGTCTGAGATCTAGCAGCAGGGACTTCATCTGGAGCTTGTTAACTGTGAAGAATCTAAGGTTTTGCCCCAAATCTACAGAATCAGAATCTGCATTTTAACAAGACCCCTAACTATCTCATATGTGCATAAGAAACATGTTTGAGATGCACTGATGAAGAATTTTTCATCTAGTTGTGGAAATAATACAGACATTTAAAAAAGAAAACTAGCCACACAGAGTGGCCAGAAACGAGAACACATTGAGTTCTACAAGAAGTCAGCAACAGGGGACAGATTGGAGCTAGAAGTTGTATAGCACAGATCCAGGAAGATTGCTTGGAGGAGGTGGAGCTCAAATTGAGTCATGCAAAATGTTTTGACTGATAAAGTGGAAGATGGTTTTGAGAAGAAAGACTAACAATGAAGCATGGAGGTGAAGACATGTTTGAGACATATAGAATGTTTGAGAAGCAGTCTTGACTCTGCCCAGAACGGCAACTCATCAGACTCTCTAGAAAAGCACAAAGGCTGTGGTTTCATCTCTGTTCTCCTGGATTGTGCCCAGAATCTAGAACTTTGTTGCTATTCAATAAATATTTGTAGAATAAAAGGCACTTCTCAAAAGTTACACTTCCTCATTGAATTATTTCATATATACATAACCTCCCTAATTGTTGTTGATAGTTCCTAAGTATGTTGGGGATGGTGTTATCTTGAGGAGGCAGATTCAGCCATTGCCTTCCAACACCTTGGTTGGTGTGTCTAAAACACAGTGATGCACTTCAAAATAATGAACATGCAGAATTTTTTAAAGCGATGCATAGAGATCAGGAACATACATAAGCATCTTATTTCCTGGATAGACGTACTATGGCCAGTATTTAGAAATATTTCCTTAGAATACAGTAATAAAATAAAATTACTTAATGAAAGATATATCAACATTGTAGATCTTTAAATTACTCCACTAAGTTGGTTTTCAAAAAAGATATTCTCCTCAGCAATACCCTGGTCTGGAAGATCTGCTTAAAAAGAAGAAGGTACAGAGAAGTGGGTTAACTGGTGAATAGCAAATAATTGCTACTATGTCAAGCTGTTATCATTTTCCAGAAAATGTAATAGTCATATTACACATTTTGTCTCTAATCCTCACCACAGCCTTTAAGAGATATATTTTTACTGCCATTTTACAGATAAGGAAACTTTTCTTTAAGGCTGACAGTGGCTTAATAGCTGTCCCCAAAGTTACATAGCTATGAAATGTTAGAACCAGAATTTGAAATCAGGGCACTAAGTCTGCAAGTTCTGTATGCTTCCATTATAGCTAACTTCTTGTTCTGCATAACAATTACCCCAAAATCCAATGCTTAACACAGCCACTATTTTATTATATGACACAATTTTGCAAGTCGTGAATTTGGGCAGGCATGGCTAGGCAATTCTCCTTCTCCACGTGGTATTAGCTGGGCAGTTTACATGGAACTGGAGTATCCACTTCCAAGATAGCTGACTCAGGATCACAAGTTAGTGCTGGCTGTTGGCTGCAAGCTCAGCTGAGGCTGTCCTCAGTTGAGGGCCTTAGTTCTTTTTACCTGAGACTCTTCACTGGAATAATTGAGTTTTCTCACAGCATGGAAACTGAGTTCCACAAGTGAATATCCAAGAGACAGGAAGAAGCAGCTTATAGTCTCCTCAAGCCTAAGCCATAAAACTGGAGCAGAATCATGTCTGCATATTCATTTGGTCAGAACACTCACAGAGCCACCCAAATTTAAAGAGACGAGTTATAGACATAGACCCCGCCAACACACACACACACACAGAGAGACACACACACGCACATCAATTAGCAGCCATCTTTAATGTAGCACGTTTCCTAAAATACAGTTGTATTAGTCCATTCTCACGCTGCTATGAAGAAATACCCGAGGCTGGGTAATTTATAAAGTAAAGAGGTTTAATTGACTCACAGTCTGCGTGGCTGAGGAGGCCTCAGGAAACTTACAATCTCAGGGATGGGCACCTCTTCACAGGGCAGCAGGAGAGAAAATGAGCGCTGAGTGAAGGCGGAAGCCCCGTATAAAACCAACGGCTCTTATGAGAACTCACTCACTATCACAGCATGGGAGGAAGCCACGCCCATTATTCAATTTTCTCCACCTGGTCCTGCCCTTGACACATGGGGATTATTATAAGTCAAGGTGAGATTTGGGTGGGGACACAGAGAGCCAAACCATACCAACAGTGCTGAAAATACATACAGCCAAGTTACATATTATATATTAAATTATTCTGTAATAGTTAACAGACCTTAACACCTCAAAGAAGAATGTTGTTTTCCATCATAAGATTTTCCATACTTTTCTATTTTCTGCAACTACTTATATGAGTTACTTTGAAAAAAATTAAAACATTTTCTTAAGATTTTACTACAAAGTTTCTGTTTATTTCAGAAACTAGAGGTGGTCAAAGACAGAATGCTAATCATGGAAGGGATGCTATGACCTTTTAGTTTTCTCCCCTTTGCTGTATGAACTTGCTTGTTCAGTTGCCACCAGGAAGCTGCAATTTGAGGAGTGGCAACACTGGATTCAAGATACGGTTTCCAGGCTGATAGGCGTTAGATAAATACCACTTCTTCAACAAAGCACTGCAAAGCAGTGTGTTTCAAGAGATGACTACTGAAGAGAGCCTCAGTTTTCCTAATTGCAGAGTAAAACTGACCTGACTTCATCAGTGTCTTTAATCTGGTTAGAATGTAAGTGAGGTTTTCATTTCGCAAATCCATGCAGTCCTCACGCCAAGCCAACACAGGTGTATCTGGCTCACTGGCAATCTAAGCACAGCTGAAGCATTTCCACTCCATCAACAATTTCCTTTCCTCTCACATCAGTGTTGCAACCCCACATTTACATTTGGCTGAGCACATTGGTTTCAGGAGTTATCCAAATCGCCACACAATCCATTTTCCCACTTTAAGCAAATATGGAAAGCCAACACAACTCTCATATATCTACTTAACACCTACTTTCTCGAATTTCCTGATCTAAATAGGAATTTGTTGCTACAAGCATCTCCCTTGGAAACTCTCCAGGAAAATTCAGGCTCTTCTTTCTACTCATGATTAAGCCTCAAGGTCCTGTCAGTGCAGCCAGGTCAGAAGAACAGCCACAGTAAATCGATGAAAAGATGTAAAGAGGGCCTTCATTAACAGGGCAATAGAAATTTCCTCTGTGAACCTATCTCCATATGAATGGCCAACAATACAGGATGAGTATATGAAGGGGTGTGCCTGACCTAGCAAGTTACACTCTAGCTCCCAATCCATGATTTAAGGGCTATCTGTTGTTCCCCCACATTCTCACGATGAAGGAGTATTGTGAATTACATGCTCATTTGAAAATACAGTCCTACAGGGACTCCCACAGAATGGATGTGGTGGAGTGAGCTGCATGTTCGCTGTTGCCGGGCAGTCGCCAGAAGCCAAAATGTGAGTTTGAATTAGGATTTCTGGGGATGGTATTAAGAACACCTTGGCAAGTTGACAAGCCAGAGATTAGATTCAGTTCCCCAAGTTGTGAGAAATCCTATTTGTTCTAGATGCTAACCACTTCTCACTTAACCTACAACCACTTTTTCCTGGAAAACCAAATAGAAAAAAATATAGATATATTCTTTAATTTCTCTGTTGTTTCAATATTATGGCAAAACTTGGGCAAAAGGTTAATCAAGTTATCTCCCCATTATGAACTTATGAAAGCTTATGCTGTATAAAATCTTCCCAACAGCAACATGTAATGTAGGGTGTCCTAATGATGTTTTTTTGAACCACTTCATATTTTCTGAGAGATGGCTTCTGTGGGAGGAATAACTGCTTTATGATGTAATATAGAGAAGAATAAAGAATTAATTCCGGCTTTGGGCTTTGCTTTATTTAGCTGCAAAATTAAAGCACTGGAATTCTCATCACTTAACAGGAATTCGTGTAACATTTTACCTGAATATACATCCAGACAGAGAGGTTCTGCACTAAGATTGAATGCTCATAATGTAACAATATATTACTTTATATAATGTATATAATAATAATATAGTTCTTTTCATAATTGAAATATTGATAATTAATAGAAAATAAAAGAAAAGATAACTACATATTTGTAATTGCATGTACCTGATTAAAAAGTAGGGTGGCCCAAACTCGCATACCCTCTGACCTAATAATTTGTCTTTTCAATATATATCTTTTTCTAAGCCCGCCTTTTCTAGAAAACAAAGCCTGAGACAATATTTACATAGAAAGTCTTATGAGGAGTATAATCGCAAGGAAGCTAGAGTAAGGAAAAAAGAAAATGAGGCAAAGAAAGGCAAAAATAAAATACAAAATGTTATATAATTAATTTGGTTGTGGTCTCATTAGAAACCATATCTGGTTGCTCACCTACACAGCCCATCTCCTGAAGGGGCATTGGAAACACTGTGTCTCATAACAACTTATCGGGTGGAGGGAGAGTAATTTATCAGCCAGCTCCCTCATATCCCCTGTTTGGCATTGATCAAGCTCCCCTCTGGGGCCAATAAGAATGTAGTCAGTGCCAGGCTATCTTCTTTCACGCCCAGCAGAAAACTATGACCAAGTACATTTGACAAAGTACATAAACTAGATCTTGCACGATTGTGAGAAAATACTTGCACATATGTTTAAAAGATATTTATTGTAGCATTGTTTTTATAAAGAATATTTAAAAGGGGCTGAATGATCATTAATAGAAAAATGGTTAAATATATTATCGTCCTCACTTATCACGGTTGGATTAAAGATAATGTAGAACTAGATCTACTTAACCAAAAACATATCCAGAGCTTATTACATTTTTTAAAAAGTCACAGAATTATGCATTTATCACAATTCATTTTCACACAAAAAAGAAAAACTCCACATGAGACATATATATGTATATCATATATACATAAATCTCCCGCATATAAAAAATGGTTATTAAGACAAATCAAAATAGTGGCTACAACTAAAAAGGAGAGGGTGAGGGTGGAATTCTCTGATGGGGGATTTCACATTTTTATTCTAGTCATTTGTGATTTAAAGTGTTTTAAGTTAAATAATTTAGAGGAAAAAAGAAGGAAGAGAGGGAGGAGAGGAGAATAGAGGTAGAAAAGAGCACAGAATTGGGATCCAGATTTAGCTCCTGACTTAATCCTTTCAGGCTGCAATCACAGAATATACACAAAAGACTGTGTGGCTTATAAACAAAAATGTATTTCTCACAGTTCTGGAGGCTGGGAAGCCCAAGATTAAGGTGCCGCCAGATTCAGTGTCCGGTGAGGGCCTACTTCCTGGTTCATAAATGATGTCTGTCTTTTTGCTGTGTCACCGCATCTCAGAAGGAACAAGAGAGGTTTCTGGGGTCTCTTTTACAGGGACACCAATTCCATTCATGAATGCTCCACCCTCATGACCTATTCACCTCCCATAAAGCCCCTCATCTTAACAGCATCACTTTGGAGCTTTAAGATTTCAACAATGAATTGAGTGGGGAGAGGCACAAACATTCAGTTCCATAGCAGCTACATCTGAATTCTGGCAGGATGGACAACTATCCTAACCAAGCAACGTGTTTCCCCTTGAGACTTGATTTCTGAGTTCCAATCCTAACAGTACTACAGTGATTTACAAGATCTTTTGCTTTAGAATAGTTCAAATGCTATGCTTTAATAGGTAATTATATGCATGTTAGAGGCAAATCCATGAATAAGACAAAACAGTTTGAATGACATTTGTTGAAAATTACAAACCTAAAGAATGACCCCAACAAATTATCATGGAAAGAAAGTCCTGAGAGAGAATATGAGTGAAACAGAGAAGAGGAATGCCAGACAAATCAACTCATCTCAGTCAAATGTGGTCTCAGATCATGAGGGCAAAAAAGGACAATGTTAAGCAAAAGAGCAGAATGAGCGAATGGTTGCTGAGGGGGTTGAAAAGTCTGTTGAAGCAACCTTCGTAAAATATGCCTTACAAACGTGTCCTAAGTAAAAGCAATGAAAAACTTTCAGCTATCCCCAGTCTAATAGGCAGTGCAGGGAAATAAGAGCTCCCTTGAAGAGTGAGGGACTGGCCTCATTTTTCCCAGTGCCTTTTAACTAGACAAATAAAGGAAATAAATCTCTGCAATTGGTAAATAAGAGATCTCATTCTGAAGGAGCTCCAACTAAATGTGATCATTTAAGTCAATAGAGTTAGCGGCGCCAACCTCTTCCAAGAGTTGTCTCGTGTGTCTTCTAAGTCATTAATTTTTCCAAAGCTCACTGAATGTTAAAGCAGAGATAGACCTTAAAGACTATCTCACCAACTTCTCATTTTTAAAATGAAAACACAACACAGTGTGTCACCTCCTCTGTACTATTGTGAATTATTTCTTTTAGGAAAATAAGAGAACATTTTTCGACTAAAGGTAAGTAATCATACTCTTCCATTTCACATATAGGTTAAGGGGGCCTACAAACATTAAATAATTTGTCCAAGCTCTAATAGCAAGAGTTTGCACAAAGAGATTTGAGAAATTTTTTTTTCCAAAAATAAATAGCTTTTTACCTTCTTTTTAAAATGTTACATGCTCTTTTCCAAACTAAAATGAAGGAAAAAATTATAGACAAATCACCTTAAATCTTATTGCCTGGAAATAGCCAAGTTGAAATGTTGCTGAAAATGCATCCTAAATAATTTCTATTGTCTCTCACTCTGTAACACCCATTTTTTTCCCAGTGGAAGAGGTAGGTGTCAAGCAAAACTAAATTTTAATTTTCTGTTTTCCAAAAATACTATTGGGAGAGGTGGTGTCAAGCAAAATTAAATTTTAATTTGCTGTTTTCCAAACATACTGCTGGTACTCTGAGTTTGAATATTGCTGAGATATATGAAGAAAAACACTACAAATGGAGTACACAGACCTTCTGGAGGAGAAGTTCCAAAGCCCAGCCATTTTCATTAATATTAAAAGATACAGAAATGTATTGGGTAGATCCAGTTTGATCAAAAAGACCTCTCTGTAAAGAAATCCCCATAGAGATAGAGAAAGACAAGATGGGTGGGCATTTCCATGCACTATGCCCTAAGATTAGTACACGCTGGAATCCATCAAACCTGTCTTGCCCCCTGGGAAAGCAGCTGGGGCTAGGGTCGGGGGCACGGAAGTGGTACAATCTGTAAAGCTGAAGCATTGAGAGAGCAGACCCAGTTTGACAGGTGTACACAGTTGGGTCACAGTAATATTTCTCTCTCGTTCATCAAAGGACCACTTGTGCTTTCTTGAAAAAATCTGCTCTAGGGCCAGGAGTGACTACCAGAAACAGAGGCTCAGACTTGGTCATGCCATTCGGACTTGATGAGAATTATGCTGTTCTTCAGCTGTGGACTTGGACATGTCAAACAGGCAGAGTGAAGTTGCAACCTCCAGGTCTTTGGCTGGGTAACTGATGATGCTATTCAAAGGAACCAGGTTTAAGTGGTATTTGTGGTGATCTCCAGCATCAAGGGAATGTGGCTAATATCTGGCTCCAGCTATGAGCCAAAAGTAGTCTGAACTGACCCTATGGACAGCACCTTGATAACTTGCTGAGACCATCATGGACTATCATGAGAGGAAGCCCTAGAAAGAGAAAAGAGGCAACTTGGTGACTTGGGCCTTTTAATTTGAAATTTTAAAAAGGTGATATGATATTTTATTTTGAATAGCAAAAGCCCATGTGATGGGTCATATTGAGTTCATAAATGTAAATGTGCACACTTTTAAATAAATGGTATCATGTTATACATGGCATCGGGTAGTCAACTTTTTCATTCAATAACATTGTGGCTGTCTTCCTATTACAATTAAGGTAGACTGACACCCTAATTAACAGCTGCATACTATTCTATAAGAAATATAAGTCATGCTCGTTTCCATATTAGGAACAGTATTAGGATGCTGAACTTGAATCTTTTTACTTTCTTTGCCAATATAACAAGCAAAACTACAATGATCATTAACATTTATCTCTTGACACACAAGCTCATTCCTTCCTTTAAATAATTTCCTAGAAGTTGAATTTCTATTTTTGGTGCCTTTTACCAAACAGCCCTTGAGAAACATTGTACAACAGTGCATAAGTGTGTCCATTTTCCTGTTTTTTGTTTTGTGTGTGTGTGTTTTTTTTTTTTTTTTTGAGACAAAGTCTCACTCTGTCACCCAGGCTGGAGTGCAGTGACGTGATCTCGGCTCACTGCAATCTCCACCTCCCAGGTTCAAGCAAGTCTCCTGCCTCAGCCTCCTGAGTAGCTGGGACTACAGGCACCCACCACCACGCCCGGCTAATGTATTTTTAGTAGAGATGGGGTTTCACCGTGTTAGCCAGGATGGTCTCAATCTCCTGATCTCGTGATCCGCCCACCTCGGCCTCCCAAAGTGCTGGGATTATAGATGTGAGCCACCACACCCAGCCCATTTCCCTATATTTTATTTACGTGTTGTGTTAGCAAGATTGTTGTGTGCAAATCAAATAAATGAGGGAAAAAAATGCTGTTGTTTTTGCAGAATATCTGGAATGTTATATATATTTTCATGTTTATTGGCCATTTTTATTGATCCTATTGTGAATTATCTGTTTATGTCCTTTGCACATTTTTTCTATATGGGAATATTAATCTTTTATTCAATGCTTTGTAGGAGTTTTAAAATATATATTTTAGAGATATTAATCCTGACCTACAGTACAAATATGTTCCTCACTTTCTCATTCTTCAAACTTTGCCTAATGACATATTTTCTATATAAAAGTTTATCATTTTAAGTGGTCAATCAATTATTTTTTTCTTCTGTGGTTTCTAGCTGGGATGTTAGACCTTAAAAAACCTTCAGCTCTCAAATCACCAAAACATCCATATTTTCATAGAGTATTTATATGGTATAACTCTAAAATTTGAACTACTGATTCATCTATAATTATTTTAAGGCCTTGGCTTCTTTTCAGTGTCTAGCCACTTACTCCAACGTTAGTTGTTGAATAATCCATCTTTTCTCCACTGACTTAAATGCTATATTCCCAAATATTCTTGGAACATTTTCTAGAATCTGTGCTTTGTTTCATTTATCTATCAATTTAATATAGTTTGGATGTGTGTCCTTGCCCAAATCTCATGTCGAATTGTAATCCTCAATGCTGGAGGTGAGGCCTGGTGGGAGGTAACTGGATTAGGGGGGCAGTTTTCTCAGGAATTGTTTAGAGCCATCCCCTGGTACTATTCTCATGTTAGTGAGTCAGTTCTCATGAGATCTGGTCATTTAAAAGCATGTGGCACCTCCCTCCTGACTCTCTTGCTCTGGCTCTGGCCATGTGATGTGCCTGCTCCTTCACCTTCCACCATGATTGTAAGTTTCCTGAGGCCTCCCCAGAAGCCAAGCAGATGCCAGCATCATGCTTCCTCTACAGCCTGCAGAAATGTGAGTCAATTAAACCTCTTTTCTTTATAAATTATGTAGTCTCAGATATTTCTTTATAGCAATGTGAGAGCAGACTAACACACAGTTTATTACTATTCCAGAACCACATGGTTTGGTTATTAATAATTTAAATATATTTTAATATCAATGAATTCTTTGGAAGTATTCAAGAAGTTTTAACAAGTCCTGTGAGACTCAGGGTGATGAAATGAACCCAGGAAAGTGGAAGACAGTTGACATGCAAGGATGTACGTAAGGTAAAGAAGACCAAGTGAAACCACAGGGTTAGATAATCATGTCAACAAAGCCATCTAAAGATAAAGAAGTTCTTACTCACTGAGTTTGAGAAGGAGTCTTAAGGACTATGTATGTCAATAAATGAAGTTGGTGCAAAACTTGTTTAATTCATTATGCAATATGATGAGACCCATCAGACAATTCTCATCAAAACCCTTCCAGAACTTTAACACTATCTTTAGATTTTCTATGGGCTTAAAATAAAATCTTATTTCAAGAGTATCATCTTTTTTCCTCAAATGCTTCATCCATACAGATATTTCCTGAAACTTCTTATACAAGATCCATTTATTTCCTTCATTCTTCACAAAGAGTTTGTGCTTCTGCCTTACATTACAGATTTCCTGGAACTTCTGAAAACCCAGACGCTCAGTTTTTAGAAGGAGACTCCAACCCATATGCTCAGTATTGAATGGGAAGAATCAACTGTTGTAAAAAGCTACCAGCTGCTCCAAGCATGGAAGTGTGTATGAGGGACATTTCTAGAAACAAGTGGGTATTATTCAAACCTTGACCAGAGAATAGGAAGGAGGTTCTAAGAAGATAGCTTATGCCTTGAAAAAGTGAAAGGAAAAACAGACAGAAATCTCAGTGCCTAAGTACCTGGGTTATAAATATAAACAAGAAAAACAAGGGGTATCTGTATCCAGCATATATGGCTGCACCTTGGGGAGATGCTGGGAGTGAATCCTTTCCACAATGTTTAACTTATCAGTCGGTCAGTTAATGTGGGTTAATAAACCATGAATCTAGTGCGTGATCATGAGGTCCAATGTGAAGCTTTTAAATAAAACACATCGGGGTACCCTGTTCATAGGGTAATGGCTACCAGCGGAAATCTAGGGCACATCTTGAATAATTCTTTGTTCATCATGTCACTAAAAATAAACAAGTGTTATTCATCTTAAATACCACAAAAACTTATCACATCATCCTCTCTTATTTTGCAATTAGCCACTCTAAATTGGATGAAAATTAGTGCTCAGATCCAAACATCAAAAAAGAGAGTACATTTTAATTATTTGAGATAAGAATAGGTTGCACTGTCATCAAACAGCAGAAAAAAACTTCATTTTTAAATCAATAAATAAATGAATAAACAAACACTGAGAACCATTAGAGTGTTAGGTACAGTTCTAAGAACTGGATGCAGAGTTGTGAATAAAACAGGTGAGGTGCTTGCACTGCAGAACTTAACGTATAGTAGAAGTGTGACAATAAATCAACAAATAAAGCATCAGGTATTGAAAAGTTTTAGGAGGAAATGTGCCTATGTCTGTGTTGGGGAAGGCCTCCAGAGGAGATGGGGCTTGGACTGAGGATGTAGAGAACTAAGGGGGCTTGGGGATCCAATGTCTAAAGCAGGACATTCCAGGTGGGTGGGGCAAGGTGGCTGGATAATGGTTCAAAAGAATGAGGTGGAGAGTGCTAGGGCATGAGGTGGCAGAAATAGCAGGAAGGACCCTATAGGCTAAGAGGTTGGATTTAATTTTTGAAGTAATAGGAAGCCACTGGAAAGTCTGAGCCAGAGAATTACAGGATTCATTTCCATCTTTAATTGACCACTTAAAGTATTATTGAGAAATGTGTTGAGAAATGATTCTAGAAGAGCAATAGCTAAGATCATTTCTTACAGTGACTTAGAAGAAAAATAATAGAATTTTGAACTAGACTGATGGAACTGGAGTCATGGAAAAGTGGATGGACATGGGAATCTAATTCAATAGGCATGCTAATGAATTAGATTTCTAGGTTATTAAGACCTGGATTCTGGCACTGATTCTAGGCAAGTTATTTGAGGTGATTCCTCAATCAAGAGCCATATATTGATCATTTTTAATCTATAGATTAAAATTACATAATATTAATTTATATTATTTTGCAAAATTTAATAAATCCTATGGTGAGAATATTTTTGCTCAGCCTTTCCATGTCTAAAAAACTCTTTTTATTTCCAGTATATATTTTTTCTAAAAGCTCAAGCAATCTTTTCAGATAATTAATATTAAAGATAGTTCTCATTCCATGCATATTTGCCAGTATACATAAATCATCACATTTAAAAAAACAGATAAAATAGCAAATGCCTTCTTTTGAAGTGATGAGTATTTTGCCACATATATAGATGCATTTCACTGAATAAATTATCTGCTATTATCACCGATATAACAATTATAAAAGACATGTAAAATTCATGTCTCTAAAGGGATGTCTCTTGAGAATATCATGTGCATAGGGCAAATCATTTGAGCAGGGAATAAGATCTTTTAAAACATAATGGATATTTTTGAATTTTTAGTTTCATTATAAAACTTCTCTACTTACACAAACAAATACACACAGCATTGAAAATTCTATAAACAATCACTATAAACTAATGGGCCCCATCAGACATAATGTAACATTATAGAGTATGCAAGCCATTTGCAGATTCATGTTTGATATTTTTATTAACTTTAGTGAAAATGATGACGTACCTAAAGGGAAAATAGACCATTTCCCAATATCCAAAGACCTCACACACTGAAATTAGCAGTATTTAATTTATCTTTGGGTCCTACTATTTTCTATAAATGGACAAAAGCCATTATTATCTTTGCATGGAAGCCTCTGTACTAGGAATAGAGAAGTATCATTTCATTGAAAAAACACATTCTCCAGGCAGCCGTTGCTTGCCTGTGTTTCCTTGCATCCCTGAGAGCCAATTCAAAAAGTAAACTTAATAACACCCCAACCCCGTGATGTCCAGAATACAATATTCTCTAGGAATGGAAATTCTTGACTAGCTTCATCTTTAAAAAAAAATTACCCTAATAAATTTATGCCATCGTAAAATCATCTGAGCTCAGCTAAAATGGTTTTATGGATATAGTTAGAGGGCATTATTTTAAAATTATGCTAGAGGCAAAATGACAGCAGTGAAGGCCAAGTGTACAAGAAATTATGTCCTGATCTCTTCACACTGATACTATTCTAGCATCTTTATTTTTGCAATGATCACACTCAGATACTAAATCCATTTTCAATTATTTCATTAAGAAAAGAACAGAATCCCATTTCATGTATATTTTTTCCTTTGAGTGCTTTACCCCCCAAAAGGCAATAATATTGTAAAATATTTATTCCATTAGTTTTAGGTAATTGAAATGCCAAGAGCTAAGCACTTAATCTCTGCCGGCAGGGAGAGCTGCCTGCTGTCACTTTTTATTAAGTTCTTTTTTGCTGCTTTTTGCATAGTCAATAACAGTGTCTAAACCCAAGAAAAGATATAGAGTAACATTTAAACAGCCGTCTATGATAAGGTAATGTTTACATTCAGGATCATATGAAAATGTCCACTCTACAGTGGCAAAGATTTTTCTCCAGGTTAACTAATTAGAATGTTTATTAGCTGCATTCATTATTCTGACAGGCCCAGGGATTTCTAAATATTATTAACTTCTCAAGCACCATATTCCCTAAAGAGCTTGTGTCTGCTGGAATCTGGACAAGTGGATTTTAGCAGCACTTGATATTTATCTTCCATGCTTAGGAGAGTACAAAGCCAGAATACAGAGCACTCATCCTTAGTACCTTCTGGGTACTAATAGGGCTTCCAGTGACTTCCCTCATCATTTTTAAGGCACCCTCGTGGCTCTGTCTGGTTAGTGTACAGTCTTCCCAGCTGGACTCTGATCAATGATTTGTCAATGTGGTAAATAGACAGCAAACAAATCTGTCTTTGGTGGCACTAACTGTAGTGGGATGGGAGGATATATTTCTGCTGCAAGGGGCAGTGAGCAGGCAAGGAGGGCTTACAGGCTCCTTATTACCCGAGACACCACACGGCAAGAGGTGAACCCCAGAAAATCCAGATTCTGAGTCATGAAACATGAGGACCTCACATATTTGATTTAAACTATGTTTTGCCTGTGTTTTCTGCCATATATGAATGTTTGTTACTCTCAACATCATCATAACTTGAGCCTGAAATACATAATCCAAGTAATTTTTAATGCCTCTCAACCAATACACTATGGTATATAGAAAAGTACATGGACTTTGGAGTCAAAAAATATGAGTTTGGGACTTCTGTTATCTATGTAGCAGCTGTGTGACCTGAACCAGTTTACTTGACCTCTCTGGGCTTCCATTTTCTCATTAAAATAAGAGTGGTATCTACTTTAGAGCGTATTGCTGTCAGGATTGAAAGAGATGGGAGGTAATTTAGATAAATGGTACAACTATGGACTCATGAGTTGAATCCTGGCTTTGATTCTTGGTTCTACCACTTACCAAATTGACGGCCTTGGAAAAGTTACAAAACCTGTTTAAGCCCTTATTTTCTCATACATGAAAATAATCATACAGCTTGCTGTAGGGGATAAGAGATTTACTAATGCAACAAATATCTCGAGCGACTCCCTTGAGCTAGGAACTAGGAATATAGCAGATAATTAAAAAGACAACAATCCCTGTCCTCATGGAGCTTATACTCTTGTAGGGGAAGACAGACAACAAAAAAAAGAATGAATAAATACATAAATATATGTAGTATAACTTGAGAGAGCGATAGGTTCTATGAAGAAAAAATGAAGCAGGAAAGGAGAAATTGATTATAAAGCACTTAACTCAGTGCCTGGCACTTGGTAAGCACTAAATAATAGGCTGTAATTTCTCAATCTCCAGTAAATATCTCCCAAATATTAATTCTTTTTCTTTCCTATGTCTGAGGCCCCCAAAATTTCTCATGTTGCAGAAAGAAGTTGAAGCCAAAACCTACATCAGCAGAGAATGAGCCTTTTCCAGGGTTTTTTGGCAGACAGCTGTACCCATAGGCCACTTAAAGACATAAGAACAAGAAACGATCTTTTATTTCAATTTGCGATGAGGCATAAAATGCAAATGTCTTGTTGAGGTACCATGCTTAGTGAGAGTACACTGCCATAGAAAAATAAATTGTCAACAAATCAACACATTTATAGTTCATTAGTTGTTTTCTATTTTGAGAGTAGGAAAAGATGGGAAATTATAGCAGAGTGTCTCATCCAAGCATAAAGAGAAAGTATTTTTAGAAACTAATGTGCCGGTGAACCTGCAGGCTCTATTTGGAGAGAACCTGTCCATGACAATTAGGGATTTTGTTGAGGAGAGCTGAGTTGTATTGAGAGAAGAGAAAAGTGTGTGGAGAGCTTGTGTAAAACAGAGGTAACTCTGAAATTGAAAGAGCTGACTTAAACAAACAAAATCTTTGGGAACCCCATAAGAGAAAGGTTGCCTCGGGGCCCAAGAAGAAAAAGTTCAAGGTAGACACTGTCCCTATGCTATGGGGAATCCTGTACCAGGAAGATCAGCTGTGGGGCACCCAAGGACAGAGCCCTTCACCCAGGTTTGGCATCTTCACAGAGAAATGGTAAAGCACCAATGGAGCTGGAGCAGAGACATGTCAGGCACCCACCAGAGGCCAGAA
The DNA here is from genome assembly GCF_000001405.40 of Homo sapiens. Classification (NCBI taxonomy): domain Eukaryota; kingdom Metazoa; phylum Chordata; class Mammalia; order Primates; family Hominidae; genus Homo; species Homo sapiens. The sequence continues at coordinate 114,236,869 of NC_000002.12, read as the reverse complement.
ATAACTGGGGGAGATATTCTCAGGGAAAAGATGTGCTTCAAGAAACAAAACTTATTTGGGATAAGAGGATGAACCCACCATGACTACTCTTTCAGAAATAGAAGTTGGTGTATATGTTCAAAAAATTAATCCTGACATTTTATTGCCATTTTATAGCTAGGCTTTATTTAAAAAAAAAAAAGACTCCTTAAAAAATTATGCAACTCCTTTTCTGTGGCATTGACTTATGAAGTCAGCTGAATCTAGATCACATAAAATTTTCTACAGAGCAGCCTTATTTCCCATTTCCATGTGCTCGGGGGAACCTAGCTAGGTGAGTGACAGTACCTAGCTAGGTTTCCCTGTGCACATGGAAATGGGAAATAAGGCTGACCACTCAATGCTAATGGGTAGAGTCAGTGCTGGTGGAGAGAATGCAGCTTCCCCACTCCTGACATGCTCTTCCATGTCATGGCAGTGACATTATTATACTTTCTTGTTCTCACCCATTCCTCACCCCCTCAGGAGACAAGTGGTTAGTGAGTTTGAGGGAAGATGGTAAAAGAGCATGCAGAACTGAGGCCCTTCCTCTCTCTGTCTCTTTGGAACAAGATGAATTCCTCTGTCCTCTGGAAGTGGAGGAAGGCCTGCCTGATCCAGTGCATTGTGTAAATCTACCTAACTCTAGAAATTGATCTAGAAGTCCACATGACTTAAAACCAGCCCTTCCTCTCTCTCTTTCTTGGGATACTGCTCCCAACGTTAGTTGGGAGTTCACAATTACTCTCCTCCAGGCAACAAATCACAAGGCCAGGCCTTGTCTGGCATTTTAGGAGAAGATGAGTTTCAACTCCAAATTCCTGGGATGTTGAGAAATGAGCAGAAAAAGGAATGAACACACGTAGATTATAAAATAATGTAGAAAAACAAAAGACCTACAAGTGTCTAAACAATTTGGACAGAAAAAAGCAAATTTGGAGAATTCTTACTAGTTGGTTTCAAATGTTTACTATATAGCTACAGTAATCATGAGTGTGGTGTTGGCATGAAGGTAGACATAGAGATCAATGTAACAAAATAGCATTCACAGAAGTCGGCCCATGCATATATGGGTGATTGGTTTTTGATAAAAGTAAACAGCAGGTCAATGGAGAAAAGATATTCTTTTTAACAAATGGTGCTGGAATAACTGAACATTGAAAACTAAAAAAAAAAATTAGAATAAAATATAGAAGTATTTGTTACCTTGGATTAGGCAAAAATTTATCAGACAGGACACAAAAAGCATGAACTAAAATCAACCACAGAAATTGGCAAACACTATAAATCAGGTTTGGGGACTCCCGTTCCTGTCCCTACCATAGAGAGCTGGTTTTTAAGTATTTACCAGCACACCATTAAGCATTTGACTTCTTACTGTGTCACCTCTGCTGGAGCTGGGAGCCAGGGACCTTGGCCTTTCCACCTTACTGGGTGTCTGAAGCTTAAGGTGGGTTGGTCCACAGATGAGAACTGTTTTGGGAAAGGCATAGCTATAAAAGCAAGACTTTAAACCAGGCAGGTGAGGGTAGAGAGGTGCTTATCCAAGCAGTGACTCAAAAGACAATCTCCACAGACGCTGGCCTTGTGGGTCTAGCAAAATATGGCTGAGTGCTAGACCTTTAGCAAGTTCCATGAGCTCAGGGTGTAGCTGCTACAGCTTTTCCTGAGCTACACTGGCCCAAATTTTCCTACACAGTCACATGTACAACAAAAAGTCAGCAATGGATCAAGTAAAATGGCAGATAGGAGACAGGACTAACATGCAGCTCCCACTTGGATGGACAGAACAGTGTTCGGAAACTTACATTGTGAACTTTTGCTCCAAGAACCACCATGAGAACATATTAGAAAAGCCAAAAGAATTCACAGACCCTTTGAAAGAAGCAGCTTGCTGCTGCAAACTCCACAAGACAACTGAAAAACTGAGTTCCTGAAGTGTGAGATGGGGGAAAAGTCTGCCTCTGAGCACATATCTCCATTGGGGACCTGAAACTCCAGATCACAGGAGAAGGATTAAGCTTATCTAGAGCTGAAGTGGATTTAGGGAGTCAAGCAAAATATAAAAGTAGAAGAATCAGCAGGAAGAACCCTGTAGGCACTCCCAGTCCCCAGCTCCATCCCAGGGAAGCCATTCCTGGCTTTCTCTCACAGGGGTTCTTGGGGAAGGGAAGGTAGTCAGAATTGGGGATGGGCCACAGAGTGAAGGAAGCTCCTAGATGAACTTTGTAATAATTTAGACTGAGCACTAATTTTCCTGAGCAGAATCTGGAGGGATGAATGAGAAGTTCAGATATGAACACAGAAGCCCCTGCCAATGATGTGGGCAGGTGGGGAAGGGCAAGGCCTGTGAACCCGGCTTGCTTTCTGAGTGGGAAGGCTTACAGCCTGGGGCAAGATCTCAGCCCTGCTCACCAGCTGCCTGGTTATTAACTTGGTGCTGTTGGTGGGGCATGGCAGGAGTGAGACCAGCCTTGCTGACTGTGTGGGAGCCAAGTGAGACCTGTCACTGCCAGCTCTCCCTCACTTCCCTGACAACCTATATGATGCAGCAGAGGTAGCCATAATCCCCCTGGGAACAACACTCCCTTGGCCTGAGAACCACCCCATCATCCTCCATAGTGGCTGCAGCAAGCCCCACCCAAGGAGAGTCTGAGCTCAGACACGCTTAACCCTGCCCCAACCTCATGGTTTTTGTCTACCTGCCCCGGTAGCCAAAGACAAAATACATAAACTCTTGGGAGCTCTATGGCTCCACCTATCATCGCCTGAGAAACCTGGGTACTTATCCTGGCCAACATAGGGTAAGCTTATATCCCCCTTCTACGACTACAGCTGGTATTCTCTTGAAAGTGCCACCTCCTGGCTGGAGGCCAACCAAGTCAAGCCATTACAGCAACTCATAACAGAAAAACCCTGCTCCAAATAAGGAGAAAACAAACAGCTAATTCCACCATCTGCAACATCCTGGCTAACCAGAGGTCCTGAATCTTGTCCATGTGACAACTTCACTGCTAGAATAATCAGCATTCAAGAAAACCAGTGCACTAAACAAAACTACAACCAAGGACTCCCACAGAGTCCACTTCACTCCTCTGCCACCTCCACTGGAGCAGGTGCTAATATCCATAGCTCGGGGACCTGAAGACAGATCACATAACAGGACACTTTGCAGACATCCTCCAGCACCAGCCCAGGGCCTGATAGCCCCACTGGGTGGTTACACCCAGAAGGGCAATAACGATCACTGCAGTTCAGCTCTTAGGAAACCCCATCTCTAGGGGAAAGGAGAGAGCACCACATCAAGGCATCACCTCATGGGACAAAAGAATCTGGACAGCAGCCTTTGAGTTCCAGATCTTACCACTGAAACAGTCTAACCAAATGATAAGGAACCAGAAAAGTAATTCTGGTAATATGACAAAACAAGGTTCTATAACACCTGCAAAAGATCAACTAGCTCTCCAGCAATGGATTCAAACCAAGAAGAAATCTCTGATTTGTCAGATAAAGAATTCAGAAGGTTGATTATTAAGCTACTCAAGGAGGTACCTGAGAGAGGTGAAAACAAACATAAAGAAATTTTTAAAAAAGCAACAATACAGGGTATGTATGAAAAAGTCTCCAGAGAAACAGATATTATAAAGAAAAGACGGTCGGGCGTGGTGGCTCACGCCTGTAATCCCAGCACTTTGGGAGGCCGAGACGGGTGGATCACGAGGTCAGGAGATCAAGACCATCCTGGCTAACACGGTGAAACCCCATCTGTACTAAAAATACAAAAAAAAAAAATTAGCCGGGCGTGGTGGCACGCGCCTGTAGTCCCAGCTACACGGGAGGCTGAGGCAGGAGAATGGCGTGAACCCGGGAGGCGGAGGTTGCAGTGAGTCGAGATCGCGCCACTGCACTCCAGCCTGGGCGACAGAGCGAAACTCCGTCTCAAAAAAAAAAAAAAAAGAAAAGACAATTACAACTTCTGGAAATGAAAGACAGACTTAGAGAAATGCAAAATATAATAATAATAAGTAACGAGAGTGAAACAGTAATTTAAAAATTGCCAAGAAAAAAAAGGACCAGATGGATTCACAGCTGAATTCTATCAGACATTCAAAGAAGAATTGGTAGTAATCCTACTGAAGCTATTCCAGAAGCTAGAGAAAGAGGGAGTTCTTCCCAAATCACTCTATGAAACCAGTATTACCCTAATACCAAAACCAGGAAAGGACATAACAAAAAAAGGAAAACTACAGACCAATATCCCTGATGAACATAGATGCAAAAATCCTCAACAAAATACTAGCTAACCAAATTCAGCAGCATATCATAAAGATAATACACCATGATCAAGTAGGTTTCATGTGAGGGATACGGAAATGGTTTAACATATGCAAGTCAATAAATGTAATACATCATGTAAACATAATTTAAAAAATTTGTGTGATCATCTCAGTAGATGCAGAAAAAGCATTTGGCAAAATTCTGTATCCCTTTATGATGAAAACCCTCAGCAAATTTGGCATAGAAGGGACGTACCTCAAGGTAATAAAAGCCATCTATGACAAACCCACAGTCACCATTATGCTGAATGAGGAAAGGTTGAAAGCATTCCCCCTGAGAACTGGAACAAGACAAGGATTCTACTTTCACCACTTCTATTCAATGTGGTATTGAAAGTCCTAGCAAGACCAAACAGACAAGAGAAAGAAATAAAGGGCATTCAAATCAGAAAAGAGGAAGTCAAACTGTAGCTGTTTGCAAGTGATATGATTGTATACCTAGAAAACCCTAAAGACTCATCCAAACAGCTACTAGAACTGATAAATGAATCTGGTAAAGTTTCAGGATACAAAATCAGTAGCACTACTATACACCAGCAGTGACCAAGCTGAGAACCAAATCAAGAACTCAACCTCTTTTACAATAGCTGCAAAAAAATAAAATACTTAGGAATATACCTAACCAAGGAGGTAAAAGACCTTTACAAGGAAAACTACAAAACACTGCTGAAAGAAATCATAGACAACACAAACAAATGGAAACACATCCCATATTCGTGGATGGGTAGAATCAATACTGTGAAAATGACCATACTGCTGTAAACCCAGAAAATCTGAGACAGGTCTCAGTTAATTTAGAAAGTTTATTTTGCCAAGGTTGAGGACACATGCCTGTGACACACAGCCTCAGGAAGTCCTGATAACATGTGCCCAAGGTGGTCAGGGCCCAGCTTGGTTTTATACATTTTAGATAGACATGAGACATCAATCAATACATGTAAGAAGGATGTTGGTTCCACCCAGAAAGGTGGGGACAACTCGAAGCAGTTAGGGGACTTCCAGGTCACAAGCAGGTGAGAGAAAACTGGTTGCATTCTTTTGAGTTTCTGATAAGCCTTTCCAAAGGAGGTAATTAGAACATGCATCTATCTCAGTAAGCAGAGAGACAACTTCGAATAGAATGGAGAGGCAGGTTTTACCCTGCACAGTTTTCAACTTGAGTTTTCCTTTTAGCTTAGTGATATGGGGGGCCCAAGATATTTTCATTCACACTGCCAAAAGCAATCTATAAATTCAGTGCAATTCCCATCAAAACATCATCATCATTTTTCACAGAACTAGAAAAAAACAATACTAATAGTCATATGAAACCAAAAAAGAGCCCGCATAGCCAAAGCAAGAGTAAGCAAAAAGAACAAACCTGGAGGCATCTCATTACCTGACTTCAAACTATACTATAAGGTCAAAGGTACCAAAACAGCGTGGTACTTTTATAAATGTGGGCATGTAAAATAATGGAACACAGTAAAAAACCCAGAAATTAAGCCAAATACTTACAGCCAACTGATCTTCAACAAAGCAAACAAAAACATAAAGTGGGCAAAGGACACCCTATTCAACAAATGGTGCTGAAATAATTGGCAAGTCACATATAGAAGAATGAAACTGGATCCTCAACTCTCATCTTGTACAAAATTTAACTCAACGTGGATCTGAGATTTAAATTTAAGACCTGAAACCATACAAATTAGCTCCACACACCTATAGTTCTCCACTCTACCAACTGAGCTATTGAAGGACATGTGAAACCATATAAATTCTAGAAGATAACATTGGAGAAACTCTTCTAGACATTGACTTAGGCAAAGAGTTCATGACCAAAAACCCCAAGGCAAATGCAACAAAAACAAAGATAAATAGATGGGACTTAATTAAAATAAAAAGCTTCTGCACAGCAAAAGAAAAAATCAGCAGAGTAAACAGACAACCCACAGACTGGGAAAAAAGTACTCACAAACTATGCGCCCAACAAAGGACTAATATCCAGAATGTACAAGGAACTCAAACAAATCAGCAAGGAAACAACAAACAATTCCATAAAAAAAGTGGGCTAAGGACATGAATAGACAGTTCTCAAAAGAAGATATACAAATGGCCAACAAACATATGGACAAATGCTCAACATCACTAATTACCTCCTTACTCCTGCAAAGATGGCCATAATTTAAAAATCAAGAAATAATAGATGTTTGTATGGACATGGTGAAAAGGGAACACTTTTACACTGCTGGTGAGAATGTAAACTAGTACAACCACTGTGGAAAACAGTATGGAGCTTCCTCAAAGATCTAAAGGCAGAACTACCATTTAATCCAGCAATCCTACTACTGGGTATCTACACAGAGGAAGTCATTGTATGAGAAAGACACTTGTGGCTGGGCGCGGTGGCTCACACCTGTAATTCCAGCACTTTGGGAGGCCGAGGCAGGTGGATCACCTGAGGTAGGGAGTTGGAGACCAAACTGACCAACATGGAGAAACCCCGTCACTACTAAAAATACAAAAAAAAATAGCCAGGCGTGGTGGCACATGCCTGTAATCCCAGCTACTCACGAGGCTGAGTCAGGAGAATCACTTGAACCTGGGAGGCAGCAGCTGCAGTGAGTCAAGATGCGCCATTGCACTCCAGCCTGGGCAAGAAGAGTGAAACTCTGTCAAAGAAAAGAAAGAGGAGAGGAGAGGAGAGGAGGAGAAAAGAAAGGAAAAGTAAAGAAGAAAAGAAAAGAAAAAGACACTTGCACACGTCTATTTATAGCAGCACAATTCGTAATTCCAAAAATATGAAACCAGGCTAAATGCCTATCAACCAATGAGTGGATAAAGAAAATGTGGTATATAGACCAACAGAACAGAAGAGAGAACACAGAAATAAGACTGCACACCTACCACCATCTGATCTTCCACAAAAATGACAAAAACAAGCAATGGGGAAATGATTCCTTATTTAATAAATGGTGAACTGGCTAGCCGTATGCAGAACAATGAAAACTGGACCACTTCCTTACACCTTACACAAAAATTAATTCAAGATGGATTAAAGACTTACATGTAAAACTCAAAACTATAAAAACCCCAGAAGAAAATCTAGGCAATATCATTCAGGACATAGGCACAGGCAAACATTTCATGACGAAAATGCCAAAAGCAATAGCAACAAAAGCAAAAATCGACAAACGGGATCTAATAAAACTAAAGAGCTTCTGCACAGCAAAAGAAACTGTCATCACAGTGAACAGACAACCTACAGAATGGGAAAAAAATTTTGCAATCTATCCATTTGATTAAGGTCTAATATCCAGAGTCAAAAGCAAATTTACAAGAAACAAAAAACTTAAACAAACTTACAAGAAAGAAACAAACGACCCCATTACAAAGTGGGCAAAGGACATGAACAGACACTTCTCAAAAGAAGACATAACATGCAGCCAACAAACATATGAAAGAAAGCTCAACATCACTGATCATTAGAGAAATGCAAATCAAAACCACAATAACATACCATACCATCTCATGCCAGTCAGAATGGTGATTATTAAAAAGTCAAAAAACAACTGATGCTGGCGAGGTTGTGGAGAAATACGAACACTTTTACTACCCTGTTGATGGGAATGTAAATTAGTTCAACCATTACGGAAGATAGTGTTGCAATTCGTCAAAGACCTAGAGGCAGAAATACCATTTGACCCAGCAATCCCATTACTGAGTATATACCCAAAGGAATATCAAACATTCTATTATAAAGATACACGCATGCATATGTTTGTTGCAGCACTATTCACAACAGCAAAGAAATGGAATCAAGCAAAATGCCCACCAGTGATAAACTGGATAAAGAAAATATGGTACATATACACCAAGGGATACTGTGCTGCCATGAAAAAAAACAACAACAACAACAACAAACAACAACAAAAAACAAAAAAAAAACAAAATGAGATTATTTCCTTTGCAGGGACATGGATGGAGCTGGAAGTCGTTATCCTCAGCAGATTAGTACAGGAACAGACAACCAAACACCACATGTTATCTTTTTTAAACACAAGCTGAACAATGAGAACACATGGACACAGGGAGGGGAACAACACACACTGGGGCCCATTGAGGGGTACGGAGGGAGGGAGAGCACCAGGAAGAATAGATAATGAATGCTGGGCTTAATTCCTAGGTGATGGATAGATCTGTGCAGCAAACGCACACATTTACTTATGTAACAAACCTGCACATCCTGCACATATACCCCAAATCTTAAATAAAAGTTGAAGGAAAAAAAAAGAAAAAAATGAGATATATATATATTTTTATATTTTATTTTATATACATATGTATATATATATATATACATGCACACACATACACCAAGGAATACTACTCAGCCATAAAAAGGAATGAAATAATGGCATTCATAGCAACCTGGATGGAGTTGTAGACTATTATTCTAAGTGAAGTCACTCAGGAATGGAAAACCAAACATTGTATGTTCTCACTTATAAGTGGGAGCTAAGCTATGAGGATGCAAAGCATAAGAATGATATAATGGACTCTGGGGACTTGGGGGGAAGTGTCGGAGGCCAATGAGGGATAAAAGACTACACATTAAAGTCAGTGTACAATGCTCAGGTGACAGTTGCACCAAAATCCAAGAAATCACCACTAAAGAACTTATCCGTGTAACAAAACACCACCTGTTCCCCCAAAAACTATTGAAATTAAAATTAAAACAAAATAAATCTTATCGACCCTGCAAAACAAAACAAAAAAGTCAGCAATGGAGAATAATCTTTCCCAGTACAGGTCATGCAGATAGACATTATGAGCCAACAATATTTGCTGCTCTTAAAATGCAAATAAGTCATGTTCTGCTTTACAGACATTACAAAGGTAATGCCTAAATTTATACTGTTAATACTAAATGCTTGTACTCAGGGCAACGGGGAAAGAATATTTAGAAGTGAAAATAATATTTGAAGGGAAAGAAAGGAACCTCAAGTAAGACCCAGTGATTGGATTTACCACCACCACAAATTTCTAAACCTAATGAGAAGGAAACAGTGTATCAAATTCACTCTCTGGGAGAGGACACAGTATAAGTAGCTAGATTCCCCCCTACCCTAGGATATGATAGGACCATATTACCCAAATTAACCTCCTACTTGAAGATTTTCTTCCAATTGAGCTTAATCCACAGGTGGTAGACTCCAAAAAAACCGGAGTAAGTGAGTGCCTTCCTGACAAAGCTGAAATCTAGATTTCTTTCATCGTAGAATGACCATAAAATTTGTTTTCCAAACAGCGCAATTTTGAGAGTAAAAATGGCTGCTATCAATCATTACTTTGGGAGAAGATGCATACAATGGGACTGTCCCAAGGAAACTGGCACTTCTGGTCGCCCTCCTTAGTAATCACTGGGTCCCCACCTGGACTCAGGCAGCATCCAGCACTGTGTTCTGAAAACAAAGCTTTGCCTGAAACAATTGCTGTCAGGGCTGGGGATTGGCTTGCTTTCTAAATGTGGTGGGGATGGGGGTCAATACTAGGAAACATTAATGCCCTAATACATTTGAAGTCTTAAAGGTGAAGCTCATTGGAGATTGGCATTAGAGTAATTCATCTTCTGAGGTCCTGAAGAGATCATTATCACTCCCAAAGAAAGCTACTGAAAGAACCTCAGTTCCACCTAAAAGACCACCTTTGGCTAAAAATGAACAAAATAAGAAACGGGAGAGAACTTTGATTCCATTAGGCCTTTAATTCACAAGAGCAAGCAAATTTAATTTCTGACTAATTCTTTTGCACCTGAACTTGCAAAACAGTGTAATTTTTGGACTAACTTCTCCTCAGGAATTTGATAATAAGAGGATGTTTATACTCAATTTGATGTATCTCCATGTTTTTGACATTTTATTATTGAGAATATCTCAATGTTGTCATTTAATTTTATTGTATTATCTCTGGTGGGCTATATTGGAAAACATGGCTAGACATAATTTGGAAAGGTAAGTGCAACTAAGAATGAATTTTCAGCTTTTGGGATAGAGTAGTGTATTAGTCAGTTCTCATGCTGCTAATAAAGACATACCTGAGACTGAGTAATTTACAAAGAAAACAGGTTTAATGGACTCACAGTTCCACATGGCTAGGGAGGCCTCACCATCATGGCAGAAGACAAAGGAGGAGCAAAGGTGCATCTTACATGGTGGCAAGCAAGAGAGCATGTGCAGGGGAACTCCCCTTTATAAAACCATCAGTTCTCATGAGACATTCACTATCGTAAGAAAAGCACAAGAAAAATTCACCCCCATGATTCAATTACCTCCCATGGGATCTCTCCCATGACACATGGGAATTATGGAGCTACAATTCAAGATGCGATTTTGGTAGGGACACAGCCAAACCTTATTGAGTAGCCTCAAATTTAATTTAATTAATATACTCTTCTCCCCCATTTCAGCATCATCCAGGGGTAAAATCAGTGCTGCCCACAGGCGTCCCAAAAGATATTGAAAAGTGTAGTAATTAGGAGTGGGGGAATGTCTTTGAATCTAGGAGCAGATTTCCTTTGAGACTGCAGTCACATCCACACAGAGGACATCCGTAGCCCTGGCCTTTTCCTTTCACAGGGAGAAAAGAGTTTTAGCATCATCCTCCTAATTTTTTTCCACTCGGTTTCCTCAATCTTCTTTAGGAGAGGCAGAAAAGGTTATCCAGAGAGAGCATTTTATCCATGATTCTCAAGCAAGAGGCACTACCAGAGCCACACTCTTGCGCAGGAGATGTGGATCCCCTTTCCCACTCCACTGGGACGTGAGAGGCAATGACGATGACATAGGAGAGCAAGATCGCTCTTCAGACCCCAACTTCCCTTAGCTGAGCTGCTCCTCATGTAAGAAACTAACACACACGTTTTGTTTCTCCATCTGCCCTCTCTTTTGTCTTCTCCGTTGGTTCAGAACCTACTCAGGAAAGAGCCGTGCTCTCTATTGGTCTCCCTAGGCCCCCCAGCAAACACCTCATATTGAGTACCTAGCCAAATGTCTGGATGCTGGGTCAACATTTGTTGAATGAATGGTGAGAGCTTAGGTGTACAAATCACATCACAGACAGAGCGGTTCCCAAGTCAAAGCAATTCTTGACCAAAGATATTGACATATATAAAGAAACATGTCAGTCATATGGTGGTAGGGTTTCATCCAACAGAGAACATAGATTGGAAGAAAAAAAAAGACTGAGAGATAAGTGTGGACAACCTAAGCTCTGTCCACCTAAACTCTATCAGGAGAGAGGGGGTCTTGGCCTCTAGGATTTGACAAGTGATTTCAGTGTGCAAGAGAGGACCTCAAGCAACCTGTTTCTTACTTTTTTTGTTAATGTAAGAAATTAATATTTGTTACAGAATTGTTAGAAAACCCCAATTTTCTAAACAAAACATCAGTGGAAAGAAATCTGATAAGCCATAGCAAATCATTACTAATATTTTAGCATATATCTTAGTCCTTTTTATTTTTCAGTTAAATACATATGATTATATACAGAATTTTTACCAAAATAGGACTATAAATTCTATTTTTGCTCATCTTTTCACTGGATGTATTATGACAATCTTTACTGGTCAATAAATATACTGCCATATTGTATTTTTAAATCAACACAAATATCACACGTTTTAGATGTATAAAATGTATTCCGTCAATCACCTATGTTGACATATAATTGTTTCTAATTTTTCTGTACAAAAAACCCACAGAGGTCATACTTGTACATATTCTTTATGCATACACATTTGTGCAGATAATCAGCTTTTCTTGAGATCAATTTAGTTACCAAGTGCCAGGAGAGTTTTGGGATTTTCTCAATAATAATCTTATGTGCTAGCATTTCATTGAGAATTTTGGGTACATTTTCTCATTTGATCTTCATAAAACTCTCGTGAGACATTATTCTCTTGGTTTTACAGAGGAGAATGCAAGTTTGGGTTAGTTAACTGGCCACACTACTAATAAAAGGAAGATCTGAAGTTGTAACCAGTCTGTCCTTTACCAAAGCTGAACCCAACCACATAGTGGAATCACACTATGGCTTTAGGATGTGGTAAGCTTTTTCCCAGTAATTCCTTCTTTTGGGTACTACTCTAAATGAGGTTTGTTTTCCAATTTATTCTCTAGTTAATGATTATTGCTATACAGTAAAACAATCATTGAAACGTTTTTGAACTTCCCTTAGGTTTTCCAATAGCTGATTTCAGGTGATTGTGTTAGGTTTCCCAGACAGTTACTCATTATATCTCCTGTAAATAATAAACTTACTTCTTCTTTTCCAATTATCATGTCTCTTTTGTTTGTTATTTTTCAATCTCTACTTTTATAAACTAATACTTCCAAAATCATCTTACATAGTAGGGATGACAGTAGGTATTATTGTTTTATTTCATCTGACCTCATCTAATCCAGTGTATCTTTGGCGAGCCAGGAACTGACGTTGGCTGGAGATGGATCCCCCACCATGCCCCTTGTGTTGAGGAATGATATATCTAATTCCAAGGAACTGAGATCTTGTTTTTTAAAGCATAATCTTAAATTTTATCAAATACATATTTGACAACTGTGAAATAATGTTTTCCTCTTTAACCTCTTAATATCATGAATTATATTAATAGATTTCTCAATGTTGTGCCATCCCTTCTTTGCTGGAATAAATCCCACTTAGTCATGGTGAATTATTCATTGAATATACTCCTGGATTTGATTTTCTAATATATTATTAAAGATCTTTACTTCATATATAAATAAAAAATTAGTCAGATATCTGTTTTTTATTGTATGCCAACTTTTTCAAGTTTGGGCTACCAGACTTACACTACCCATATAAAAATAATTAGAATTATTGCAAAGGACTTCCTTTCCTGTGCTCTGTAAAGTTAGATAATCAACATCCTTTATCTATCCCCTGAAGGACCACAAAACAGTTAGGAAACCATCTAAACTAACACCTTTCTTGGAGCTAATTCTTCAGACAAGATTTTGATTTTTTAAAAGATATTTATATAGTGATATCTTCTATCTTATTTCTACCAATTTTAGTAATCTGACAAAATATATATATATATATATTCAAATGATACTTTGAAGATCATTAGCCTAGAATTGTACAAAGTATTTTCATATAATTGATGTAATATGTTTATTGCATTGTCAATTTTGCATTTTTAGCTCTTCGAATCACTTAATATTTTATCTATTTTCTCACAAAATACACTCTTGCAATTAAATATAAATTGTATTCTTTTTTGTTTTCTAATTTATAAAACTGGGCTTTAATCTGTATTAATTCTTTCCTTCTATCTCTATGTATTAGGCTGGTGCAAAAGTTACTTTCACCACAACCTAATATTTGATTTGCTGTTCTTTTTTATTTATTTTGAATAGTTGATTTATTTTCTTCCTTCTTAAAAAAATATTAAAAAAAATTTTTGTTTTTAAGAAACATGCCTAAGTGCTTTATTTCTGAGTCCTTTCATATTCATGCATTCTTTTTTGTTGTTTTCAGATGAATGACAGTTTGGCTAAAGATAGAAGGTGGAGGCATAACCTTTTCCATCATGCTGTTGTAATCATTGCTTCGTTACTGTAATCATTGCTTCATTATCTTCTGGCATCTAACATTGCAAAGAAGTCTGAGGGCCGTCCAGATTTTTATTTTCCTTCTTAGATATTTGTTTTTATTGTTGGCTGGTTGATTGTTATTATTGTTTTAATGCTGTGATGCTTTTATAATTCTTTCTTCATCCTTGAAATTCAACACTTTCCCTTTTAATTAAGTTTCCCTTTTACCCATGAACGTTTTCCATTTGCAGCTCATCCATCATTTTCTACAGGTTGGCTATTGTGATTCCACCCACTCCTAGTGTGGAGACAAAAGCTACTCTCTAAGCCTGCATGGCTGGAAGTTAGATTATGAGCTCTGGCAAAGTCCCCTGGGTAAATGTCATTTTGTTGACACCCTGGATCATGGGGCCAGCTGGCCTGCCCCAGGCAGAATCAATATCTTCTGGTTGTATTCCCTCCAGGAAATGAGTTGTCTTGAGCTGAGGTGTCAGGATACAAGGGGCAACTTGAGGCTTAACTGTCAGTCCAGGTGGGGAGGTGAAGAGGGATCCTATTTTGAAGACAAATTTGTCAGAGCCATTCTGATGTTATGACAACTATTTACAACCACAAATCACTCCTTCTCAAAGATGCAAAGGAAAAAGGAAACAAGAGGAAGACAAGCTTGAAGATAATCTAAACTCAGCCTCAAAGTTGAGTTTTCATTTCTTTAGGACTCTGGGTAACAGGGAGGGCATATCCATTTTCTAATAGCATGTTTATTTCTTTTATTCACGTTCACATTATCAAGGTAGGGAAGGGCTATTGGGAACCAACTGCTTCATTTCTTGTCTTTCTTGCTAAATTTCAAATTTGTTCATGGCACTTGCCCTGTGTTTTCTTCTCATACGTTTTTTTGGGGGGAGATCAGAGGACAGAGACTCTCTGTGCATACCTTGGTGGTTGCATGTGTATGCAAATGAGAAAGGCTAGAGGAAGAAAAAAGCATTGTCCAAAGGGAAAAAATGAATGGTCTTTTTATGAAAAAAATACATGTTTCCTAAGCTTCTAGTGGCCTGTGCCTCACTCACGTAAGGAAACGAGAGACAATGTGATTTAGGAAATTAAGAAGTGACACAGAATGGAAGCGATCTCCGCAGGGGTTGGGAGTGGACAATCCGGCCTGATTGTAATCAAACCTAATGTCATTGGTGATGAGAAATAAGAAAAGACAGTTAAGTCCGATCGCATCAATATTTTCAGGGATTAGGTATGCAATACCAAGAATGCAGTAATGAGAACTAGCGGTACCACATGGAAAAGCCACTATTTTTAGAAGTTAATTAATAAACATTCATTCTGCTTCTGTTGGAAATTGCTTTAAATACCCCCACTGAATAAATATTTCATACTTTATTTAATATCCCATTAATGCCACCATTTCCTAAGAGAGGGGTTCTGGGTAACCTCAAGAATGCATAATTGAGATAGATGTGGAATAATAGGATCAGATATGGTCCTAAAACATTTCATATTACTGTGCAACATAGAGAAACAAGAAAAATTATACTGAGAAGCAAATACCGTGAGAAGGATATGGAGGCTGAGAAACAAGACTAGCCTTAATTGAACCTTTTCCTTGTACAGTCTGGCATGTTCCACATGCACAGCTATTTCCCATGATATCTCACTAAAACTCCCTATCAATTTTATAAGTGGATACTATTATTCTAATATTACAGAGGTGGAAACCAGGACTCGGCAAAGTTATATACATGCATACAGTAAATAGCAGAGGCCTTCTTCTCCTCTAAATATATTGGGGGTAGTTTCTTAAGAACTTGATCTCTGAGGTAAACTCAGAGATCATAACCTCAGACTCAAGAAATTTAAGTGCCAGAACTATGGGAATTCAAATTACAAAATTAAACTATATGACTCACAAACTGATTTTCTAAATTAAATGTTGGCAATATATTAAATTATTATTATTATCATTATCATTTTTTTTGAGACAGAGTCTCGCTTTGTCACCCAGGCTGGAGTGCAGTGGCGCAATCTCAGCTCACTGCAACCTCCGCTTCCCGGGTTCAAGCTATTCTACTGCTACAGCCTCCCGAGTAGCTGGGATTACAGGCACCCACCACCACGCCCAGCTAAATTTTTTGTATTTTTAGTAGAGACAGGATTTCCCCATGTTGGTCAGGCTAGTCTCAAACTCCTGATCTCAGGTAATCCACCCGCCTCGGCCTCCCAAAGTGCTGGGATTACAGGCGTGAGCCTCCGTGCCTGGCCAATATTAATTAAATTTTTTAATAATCCTTAAAACCCTTAACATTATAACATTCCATAATCCCAACTAATGTTACACACACATACATATAAATATACATACATATATGTGTATTTTTGTATTATAGTAATCTAATTTTATTCCCATATTATATTAATTTCATCTCCATTAAAACACACAATTTAAAGTGTTATAAAGAAGTAAACAGAGGCACCCTGATGTTCACAACTAACTTAGGCTCTGATCTTGCATATTCCATGTCTGGGCTTTGTACAGAACTTGCCCTTTATTGTCCAAGCCTACCACCATTGGAGGAAACTGGAGATTAAATGAAACTGGAGAATGCATGCCAACAACCATATAACTGAGTTTGGAAGTGATTTTTGCAGCACCAGTCATGCCTTCAGATGACTGCAGCCCCAGTAAACATTTTGATGGCAATGTTATGAGACTCTGAGCTAGAACTACACAGCTAAGCCTCTTTAAGATACTGATTCTCAGAAAATAAATGTGATTTTTAAAAATAGGTGTTTGTTGTTGTTTAAACTGCTAAGTTTTGAAGTAATTTGTTGTACAGCAATAGGACACATCTAGTAGTTTTGGTTGAAAAGTAGACATCACAGATAATACAGGATAGCAACTTGGATTCTGCCATGTGTTAATAAAAATTGTTAGATTTCTGTTCTATTAGGCAGCATAAGTTGCCTGGAATATAACCACCAATATTTCCTTTCCCTTGGTATACAGCTCTTATTTCTTATTCTTATGTCCTCTTATTGCTGATTTTTCATTCTGAACCTCCTAGTTCTCTCCTGTGCCTATCAAATTTGGCTGTCAGCCAAGGATTTGGGTAGAAATAGAGTTCATCCCTCTGTAGTTTCCTTGCTTCTAAGAATTGCCCAAATTTCTAGCCTTGGGCTCTGTTCTCTGACCCTTTAGTATTTCTGCCTCCCAAGCTGTGAGCAGCTGGGAGACGTATTAAATTAAGAAAAGCATGAAATTCACAGATCTGGCTCTCCATAGCTTTATCTTTCAAGAGCAGATTTATCTCTGGTCTCTGACTCCTTTTCTGCCATGCTTCCTGAAAGGCTCCCTCAGGGCATGTTTAGTTAGTTGTCAGCCACAGATCTGGGCAGTTAATGCTCTAATTTCTTCTTTTTTTGTGGTTCATATCCTTCATGATTCCTCTTTACAATTTTCAGCTTCATTCCTTTAGTCTTTAAGCATATTAGCTTCTAAGACAGTAGAGGAAAGAGCCGTAGCCGTGAGCAATGCCATCAGCCAAGGAAGCCCTGAACTCAAAATTCTTGTCTCTTCCTGTTCTTCAGGTTGTACAGCTTTGGTTTTGTTTGTTTGTTTGTTTTTCTTTTTTGGGGGTCAAATTCTCCCTTAGCTTCTCTCTGCTTTTGGGTGCTTTCCAGCATTTCCTGTTTTATTTTATACAGTTTTTATAATTGTTATCTGCCGGTGGGTTGCATAACCACTTCAATGTTCCATTTTTAAAGAAGTAATTCCAAGGCCTGGTTTCAAATACTTTCTTCTGATTTTGAATGCGTCCTCTCTGGGCATTGCAGGAGACTGTAGTAGCTAAAAGTCTTCATAGTTAGTAATTGGAGATACCTCAAGAAAATAGCAATCAGGAATTTTTTCCTGTAAAATGGTAAGTTATATTGTAAAGCTCTAAGAATTAAGACCTAGAAGCCAGATTCCTGGATAATTTTGATATAGAACTAGTAGCTATAAGAGTTTACACAACTGAGAGCCTGCTTCACTGGATTTAACATTAGGGTAGGTACTTGTGATAGTTTTCTATTGCTGTGGAGCAAATCGCCACAAACTGAGCAGCTTAAAACAACATCCATTCACCAGCTTACAGTTCTATAGGTCAGACATCAGCATGACTATATTCTCTTGCTCAGGCTATCACGAGGTTTAAAGCAAGTTGCTGGCCAGGCTGGACCCTCATCTAGACATTGTGGAGAGAAACTGCTTCCAAGCTCATTCAGCGTGTTGGCAGAATTCAGTTCCTCACAGTTGTAAGACTGAGATCTCCATTTCCTCATTGGTTGTCAGCCAGAGGCCTCTCTCAGCCCCTGCATGCCACTGAATTCCTTCTCACACAGTCCCTCCATCTTCACATCTCCAAGCCTGCAGCAGCACATCAAATTCCCCTTGTGCTTCAAATCTCTCTGACTTCTTCTGCCATTAGCTGGAGAAAAACTCTCTGCTTTCAAAGGAGTTCACTTGGTTAGATCTGGCCCACCCAGATAATCATCTTATCCTAAAGTCAACTGTGATATCTAACCTGACATAATCATGGGAGTACTAGCTCATTATCTGCATGGGTTTTGGATATTAAAGTATAAAATCTTGGGGTCCATTTTCAGAATTTTGCCTACTGTAGTCTCATTATAAAAGCATCTTTTTTGCTAGATCAAATGCCACCCAAGGACAGAGGTCAGAAGGAAAGCAGGGGACAATTTCGACCTTTACCCATTTCGGGTCTTACTTGTCAAATTCAATTATTAATCAACAGCCAGTATGTTCTCTGTTATAATCCATAACCCAAAGGAATCCAATGAGACTGGGCTCCTGTCATCGAAAAAAGTACACACACTTACCTATTTTTTAACCCCTGTAGGAAGAGAGGTTGGTCACTTGTACAAGAACAGACCAGTCCTCTGTATTTTCTGCCGGTATTCATGTGTGGATACTCATAAATTGCATTTTGGGAACTGCAGCATGCAATTTGCACTCTAAACTGAGGAGAGAAGCAACCAATTTACACATGGAAAATGATTTATGTGCAATGCCCACTGCAGTTTCATTTATAGTAATGAAAAAATGTTAAAAACAAGAGAGCAGAAAGTAAATTATAGCACATCCACAAGATGTAGCCATTTATTTATTCTTTCAGCCTTTCAACAAATATTTATTGTTTACCTATCGTGTGCCAGGCACTATTAGCTGCTGGGGATACAACAATAATGCAAAAGAGACCTGGTTCTTTTCCTTATGGAATTTATATTCCAATTGAGGAAGAAAGACATTAATCAAATAATCACACAGGCTAACATAAAACTGCAACCTCTGAAGGGTGCAGACATTTAAAATGATGGTTTTAATTTAAAAATTGTCCAAAAACAGAGAAATCTGTCTATGATCTAATGTTAAGATGATTAAGAATGATCTGTAATTATAGGTATAGAAAGGTACCAATAATATGACATGAGCTGTGCAAGAAGAAAACACTGGAAAGAAATAAACCAAATGTTAATAGTGGTTGTCTTCTTTATATTTACATGTGGTCCCTGAATTCTATAATTTGCATATATTACTTTTATAAATAGAAAAATCAAACTTATTTATAAAAGTAAAGAAATCACTTTCATTCTACCTACCCCTATAATCAGATGCATGGTCTGGGCCAGATTTTTACATCTTCTTTGTTTGAATTTTGTAGTTGAGGCTGAACTAATTGGAAACATAAAAATAAATGTGAAACTACCCAGTTATCACTTGACATATCCCCACTCTTTACATGGACTTGCAGATGTTCCTCAATATTTCAAAATCCTTCAAAAGTTTTTCAGCAATAATTAGGCCCATAACATATCAGCATTACTGCAGCTGCACATACCCCACCTCTCCCTCCTTAGCCAAGTCTGGCATCTTCTCCTCTTATCATAGTATCACTACTACGGAGGGCTCACCGTGTGGCTGGCAGCATGCTAGATCTTTATACACATTACCTTAAATCTGTATAGTAAGACTGCACAGTAGCCATTATCAGCCTCATTTGACAGATGAAGTATCAGATCCCAATATTACCTGACAAGACAGTAAAAGCCAAGAACAGGAATGAAACCCAGCACGGTCTGTCTCCCAGGATCATGCTATTTTCGTTATTTTGGTAGGCAGAATTCTAAGATGGCCCCTAAGATTGCCATCATTCCCTGATGTGCACATCTTCTATAAGCCCTTTCCATGAGTATGAGCAGGATTTGTTAATAAGATGGAACGTCACTCTGTGATTATGTTACATTATAAGACAAAAGAAATTTTGCAAAGTTAACCACAAGGGAGATTATCATGGGTGGACCTAACCCAATTAAGTGAGCCCTTTGAAAGAAAGGCTGAGTTCTTCACGGAAGTCAGAGAGATTCAGCTACTGGTCTTGAAGGAGCAAGCAGCCTTGACTCCTACAGCCACAAGGAATTGAATTCTTTGGACTACTAGTGAGCCTGGAAGAGGGCCCTCAGATGAGACACTAAAATAATATTGCAGCCCCAGAAAACACCTTGATTTAAGTCAATTGAGACCCTGAGCAAAGGATCAAGTTAACCCAAGCCCAGAATATTACATATGGAGACTATGAGATATTAGGTTTCTTTTGTTTTAAGCTGTTAAATTTGTATGCTATGAAGAAAAAAAAAAACTAATACAACTACCCTACTCTGCTTCCTGACCTCTCTGTTTGCATTAAGTGGCGATCCAGGTTTCTATCCAGGCTGAGGGTCTGGTTGCTGGGGCTGGGGTATGTGGGTAATTGAATTCTTCATTCATAAAGGCACTCTTGGAAGCTTCAGGTCCAACTGGGACGGCTATGAACAGCAAGAACTAAATCCTCAGCCAAGTCTGTGAACACAGACAAAATGGATGGAATAAACAGGTTCCCCTTGACCATCCTGGAGACATTCCACAAAGCAGAAAGGAACAGACTTTTTATGGTGGCTGGTCCCAGTGAGCAAAAGGGGTTGATGAAGACATTAGGTTAGGGATTTCTCCTCCCAATTTTCCCTGCTTTCCTCTCCTTGTACCACTGAATGTCCCTAATATGAGAAGACTCAAGTATAAGCCAGCAGCAAGGCTGCTCAGTCCCTCCTAACCAAAAGAAGTGTGGATTTTCATGACGTCAAGATGGGTTCAAACATAAACATCAGGTTGAAATGTTGGGAACCTCTCAGGCTTCAGTTCCCACCACTGGTCATGCTGACAAAGAGGAGGGGGGAGATTTATAACTGCCATTTCCAGAAAGATTCACTTCAAGTCCCATTCTTTAGTTTGGAGGTTGGAATCATGGGTGATACTTACCATAAACTCCTGTGAAATATACTTTGATACAAATAAAAGCTTTAAACAAGATGGCTGTCACCAGTGATGTTCCAAACCATTAAGGTGGGGCGGATAAGTCCTCACACTTCAGATTTCAGAAGAACCAAGAATGTCTGTTGACTCTAATGTCTTAGGCCTTTCTGGTCAACACTTTAATTCATTTGTTGAGTTCTAGTTTTTTGGTTTACCAATCCTGTGCTTATTAAAAGACAGGCACCCCTAGAAGAGATGCTTCAGTTTGAAGTTTCCTCCATCAACAGACAGCAACAAACATTACACCCTTTCTTGTGAGCAAATGTGACAATAAAAGGAATAAGAAATAAGGAAAATATGGAGGTGCTGAAGAGTAAATATAGAGGAGAAAAGATTTACAGAATGGACACTGGCAATCTGGACACTAAAGGCTAATGCTCCCTTTGTTAGGAGCATCTGGGGGCCTGAGCAGATTACATCTTCACATGTGGGTTTATTTTGCTGCAGGAAATAAGTCTGTATTTTTGTTCTGTTGAGTTGAGATGGTCCTATTTTAATAGGAATTACTATCTACCACATGTTTCTCCAACTCAAAATTTACCTTTATGCCTCACTCACCCCATAGAATAGGAGGTTTAAATCCCTGCCCCAAGGTCTCATATGGAACATGAAATTGGTGAGAAGTAGCTTCAAATAAATGAAAAGCATACTGATAAAGCAGACGCTATAACTTAGTAAACAGAAGCAATTCACAGGGGTCAGCACCACAGCTCAGCATGGAGGAAGTGGCCAGATCAGCAGTCACCTTCTTCAAAACACAGACACAACTGAGGCTCAAACTACAGGCCAAGGGAGCCGTTCCTAGAAGACAGTATAGGATGAGGCCCCATATCACCTGGAGGGTGGGCATTGGGCTGTGCTGCTACCGCAGCACTGTCCCCCTCCAGACGCCCTAGGTTACAAACCAGGTTCAAAACCAGATGGCCTCAGCAGTCTTGCCCCAGTGAGGAGTGCAGCTCCAATCACCTTTCTTTCCTCCATCCTTCTCAAGATCCACACACTGCTCCCCGTGGGTCATGACATCCAAAACAGTTCAGGTCATCGTGGTCTATGAACAGTAGAGCTTGATTTCTCCAAGGGAGAATAAACTGTGAAACATAAGCTTGTTTACCTTGGGGTGGGGAAGAAGGAAGGATAGGTGAGATAAAGTAATTCTACGTAAAGGCAGACCAGAAAAACCCTTGACACCTCTTTCTGGAATGGAGACAAAACCATGAATTTAATATCTGACAGAGATCATGCTGCACTAGAATTTAACAGGACTCTACACAAACAGTATTAGATCAGAACTAGGGGAAAGCGGCCCTTGAAGAATACTTAGACATGCATTTCCTCCATCAGTCATTCACAAAGTTATTGCATGTGCAATGCACTCTGCTGAACATCCAAAGATAAATGGAAGTGGGCAGTACACGGAGAGGAACCAACTACCAGCAAATGTCACAGTGGGTGAAGATGCTATAACAGAAGCAAAGTTCAGGTCAATGTCTGCACAACAAGTCATGCAACGTAGCAAATACAGTTGACCTTTGAACAACACTGGTTTTAAATAGGCAGATCCACTTGCATGTGAATTCTCTCCCTCATTTGCCACCCCTGAGACAGCAACACCAACCCCTTCTCTTCCTCCTCCTCAGCCTACTCAATGTGAAGACAACAAGGATAAAGACTTTTATAAGATCCATTTCCACTTACTAAATAGTAAATATGTTTTCTCTTCTTTGTGATTTTAATAACATTTTCTTTTCTCTAGCTTACTTTATTATAAGAAAACAGAATAAGTCATGTAACATGAAATACATTAATCAACTATTTATGTTACCAATCGGCTTCAAGTTAAGAGTAGGCTATTAATAGATAAGTTTTGGGGGAGTCAAAGTTCTATACAAATTTTTGACGGTGTAGGGATTGACACCTCTAATCTCCATATTGTTCAAGGATCCACTGTAGTCTCCTTTCTGTGGGGCAGCATCTCAAAGCCATAAGTTTACTTGTGCTAGAATGCAGACGTTTCCTGAAAGCAGCCGAAGACCATGCATTACATGTATCCTTGCATGTGACCTAGCTCCCAGCCTTATACGTATCAGCAACTAAGTAAATATTTCTGAATGATTGATGTAAAATCCTTATCAGTGATGCTATTAACTCAGTGTAGCAAAATGTGCAAGTTCAAATGAAATATACACACATTTCATATCCCTAAATATTATACAATGTAACTTGAATGTTGGATCATAACAGAGAAGAAGAAAAGATACATTTCAATTGAGACTTGGCATGAGCTGAAGAAGCAGCTCAGGGAAGAGAGATAAGAAGGCTGTCATGTTCTAAATGGCAGCAGCTTCAAAGGAGAAGGGTTTTACATTTACGGGGATTTGATTATCCGGAGAGATAAGATAGGAAGTGGTAAGGGAAATCAAAGAGAAATAAAACTCTCAAGATAGCCTGAGAAATCAGGTTATTTAGAAAAAAGAGGACATCATTCAGCTAGCTGTTTTCTATTAAAAATAAAATCCTCAAAGCTAACATTTCCAAGTTGGTGTTATTTGAATCCTTCATAACAAAGATGAGAAATTTTAAAAGGAAGGGTACTGAGCTAAATCCTGTTTTTAAAATATATATCTAAAGCATTGGTTCAAGCTATAGAAGAGAAATTTTACAAATAGAAGCGTTTTTGGGGAGAAGCTTGTAAACTGATGATAAGACTTGTTGCAGACCAGATTTTTAACCATATATATGTGCATTCTAGCACATGTGGTACTTTTAAGGTTGAGTCCATGGACATTGCATTTTCACCTCAGAAATTCCAATTCTGAACACTTAATAATAATAAATAAACCCAAAGTTAATAATGAAATAAATAACAAGATGTTGAAGAGGTAGTTTTATTTCAATTGATTAAGCAATTGTACATTCCCCTAGACTATGAAAATCAAACCCACACACACTCATGCACATGCAAACAGGTGCACACACACCATTGAACATACAGGAAGTAAACAAAGGAACAAAGGAACAGTCTTGATCATTCAGTCCACAGCCTAATTTAGCCAAAGTGTTGAGAGAGAGAGAGAGAGAAAACGCCTCGTAATTGGAGTGATGGTTTCTGTTTTGGGATTCCCTGGATGACATGAGATTCCAGGTTCTAGTCATTTATAGATAGACCCTGTGTTACAGAGTGATTAGAGTTGACAGCTACCCAAGCCTACCTATTTAGAGAAACTGTTCTCCCTTGCCTGGTTGGGAAAATAAACCTTCGAATAACTGAGTCCATTCTTCATTTCATTTTCCCAGCACATACCTTGTTCATAGCAGACCCAATCTATACATGTAAGTCATCTAGCCTCTAACTCAAGGGAAGAAAGTGGGGAAGCCAAGGGACTAGGCAGGTCTAATTCATCACCCAGAAATTACACAGGGCCCTGCTACTGTAGTGGTGAGAAGATAGCAGCTGCATTATAACTAAGAGTCCCAGCCACGGTTGTTGAACGAGACCCAACCAATAAAAGCTTGACCTTGAGAAACAAAGAGAGTCAGAAGACAGATGACCAAGCCCAGAGAGATGAGTTTCGTTCTCTGTAAAATGAAGAGGCTATGTAATTTCTTATATTTCTCTCATTCTCCACTTTACAAGGTACATTAAAACACACGTTCTCATTTGATCCTCATGACCTTGATAGGGAGAGATGGTCTTGAAAGCCTTGCCCAGATGACTTGGAAGGATGCTATCCGACTCTATCATTTCATCATATCACAAGATTCATGCATTCACCTTTTTTCCTGAATTCAAGTTTATTTCTACTATTACAAATCTCTAGTGCAGCTTGGTTATCAAAGTTTGTAGTGCTAAGGATAATTTTTTATTTTTGAGGAAAATACCAAAGTAGCAATCTACCAAGCATAGAAAGCATGACTTTAAGGTATTGAAGCTGACTATACTCTTTAATTTCTATTGCTGACTAGCAGAGACCAAATCAGCACTGCTTTCAATGTAGTCAGCCCATCTGAGAATGCTTCATGGTCGCCAATATTTTTGGAGCCTTTTTATTGTACCTATATCCAGCATTAGGTCAAAAGCCTCACAAGATAATCAAGTTTCCTTCTTCATGGTCACACTTTGGTTTGAACCAAAGGCTCCATTACTAATTACCCAGGCTGTCCTCTCAGGTTATTGACAAGGCTTGTAACAGAGTGAGTTTGGCTATTTCAAGAAATCCTATCCTTCAGAGAGAAAAGATTTGCCACTCTGAAGATATTCAAAAGAAGTTGATGCTGACTCTACAGACAATTCCAAAAGAGAGATTTCTCCACAGCCTCCACCACTGGAAGCTCCCCAAGCAGGAGGAAGATACCTTATTTTGATGTGTATCCACAGTGCCTGGTACAGCAGCTGTCGCATAAGCCAAATCCCAGGGCGAGCTTCTTGGGCAGTGAGCTGTGCAGCCACTCAGGGACTGGAAGGACCCTGCACTTGGTGTTTTGCTCTGCTGTCATTATCTTGGAATTCTTCATAATTTAACAAAGAGCCTTGCATTTTCATTTTGACCTGGGACTCACAAATTAAGTAGCCATTATCATTCAATAACTATTAATATTTTTAAAACTGAAGTAAACCATTCCGGTTCTGGATTCTACTCATAGGAAACAAGATAGAGAAAGCAAGGAGCCCAAACCCTAAGTTTGAATGGTATTCCCAGCATTTACCAATGTTCTAGTTTGGGTTAATAATCTTTAATATTAAAGTTAAATAATCTTCTACACTAGGAGTCCCCAACCCCTAGGCTGCAGACTGGTCCAAGTCTGTGGCCTGTTAGGAACCTGGCTGCATAGCAGGATGTGAGCAGCTAGCAAGAGAGCGACTCACCATCACTCACATTACCATTGAGCTCCACCTCCTGTCAGATCAGCAGCAGCATTAGATTCTCATAGGAGCATGAATCCTATTGTGAACTGTGCATGCAAGGGATCTAGGTTGCGTGCTCCTTATGATAATCTAATGCCTGAAGATCTGAGGTGAAACAGTTTCATCCTGAAACCATCTCCCCCTGCCCCCCGTCCGTGGAAAAATTGTCTTCCATGAAACTGGTTCCTAGTGCCCAAAATGTTGGGGACCAATGTTCTATACAACTGTACATATACTATCTTGGAACAGTATGAGAATTTGAAGTAATGTCTATAAAGCAAATAGCACAAACCCAGCACTCAAAGTTGTATGTTTTTATTATTTTAATGGAATTGGATGGGGTTGAAACTATCAGCTATGATATATAAAGAAGAAATATATAGAGGAGGTGCCTAGTAATACTCCGTAGTAACAACAAGGGAAATAAGTTGGCCACAATTTTTATAGCCTAGAAGTCACCACTTCAAAGCACAGAGCTTTAGAAAAATATTGGACCTGTGTATTTGTGACATCATTGTAGAGTTCAGATAAAATTAGGGACAGGAGGTGCTTTAAACCTGAAAAGCATCAAATATAAACATGTCATAGTATCTAAGTTAAATCATATTTTAATTACTTTTATATTTTCCTGTTTAGTTAATGTGTACTTTATAAAGCTTTATCCTATCCCATTTCTGTTTCTTGCATAATATTAATTATAATTTGTAAGAGTTCTCTAAAATGTTGACTGTTGGGCTCTTGTTCTACAAAATAAATCCTTATAATAACTGCATTTTTTAAAAGAAAACTTTTGTTATGTTAACAGACATTTATTAATTGCTGAACAAACAGTAGGTGCATGGATATTCATACAGCTTTTTACTGATACATAATATTTGTACATATTTTGGGGGTACATGTGATATGTATACATGCATACAATGTATAATGATCTAATCAGGGTAATTGGAATATCCATCACCTCAAATATTTATCTTCTCTTTATGTTGGGAACATTCTCATTCTTTTCTTCTAGCTATTTTGAAATACACCATAAATTATTGCTAACTATAGTCAGTCTACTATACTATCAAAGACCAGATTTTATTCCTTTTAACTGTATGTTTGTACCCCATATTCAACCTCTCTTCACCCCACCCACCTTCCCACTTTTCCTAGCCTCTAGTAACCAGCAATCTACTCTCTATCTCCATGAGATCCACGTTTTTAGCCCCTATTTGTGAGTGAGAACATGCAATATTTGGTTTTTTATGCCTGGTTTATTTAACATAACATAATGACCTCCAGTTCCACCCATGTGGTTGTAAATGACAGGGTTTCATTATTTTTTATGGCTGAATACTATTTTCTTGTGTATGTATACCACATTTTCTTTATGCATTCATCCACTAATGGGCACTTAGGTTGATTCTGTATTTCGGCTATTGTGAATAGTGCTATAATAAACATGGGAGTGTGGATATCTCCATAATAATGGATTTACTTTTTTAGGGATATATACCCAGCAGTGGGATTGCTAAATCATATGCTATTTCCATTTTCAGTTTTTTGAAAAACCTCTATCCTGTTTTCCATAATGGCTGTACTAATTTACATTCCTGCCAACATCATACAAGGGTTCCCCTTCTCTGCATCCTGGACAGCATTTGTAATTTTTTAATTTTTTTGATAAAAACCATTTTAACTGGGATGAAATGCTATCTCATTATGTTTGTTTTGCATTTTCCTGGTGATTAGTAATATTGAGAATTTTTTCATATACCATTGATCAATTTTGTATCTTCTTTTGAGAAATGTCTATTCAGATCTTTTGCCCATTTTTTATCATCTTTTTATTTTGCTATTGGGTTCTTTGAGTTCCTTTATACTCTGATTATTAATTCTTTTTCACAGGGATAGTTTGCAAATAGTTTCTCTCACTCTGTAGGTTATCTCTTTACTCTGCTGTTTCCTTTGCTGTGCAGAAGCTTTTCATCTTGATGTAATCCCACTTGTCTATTTTTGTGTTTGTTGCCTGTGCTTTTGAGGTTTTACCCAAAATATCTTTGCCAAGACCAATATCCTGAAGCATTTCCCTAATGCAAAATGTATTTTCTTAAGATAGAATTTTACTGTAAGAATATACTCTTTTGTTGGTGAATACTTTGAAAAGCCACTTATGGTGCAAGTTAAAAAGAAAGCTCATTCCATTATATGCCCACCTTCTGGCAAGAGGCCATTCTTGAGGAGTCATTGATAGAGATGGCTCCGCTAACTACCTAGTTTTTGTTTTTGCTGAGTGATACATAAGCAAGCTGAGAGTGGCAGCTGAATTTATTGACACAATAAAGATAATTTCCTTGAGCCCCTAGGAAGGAATGAAATAGGCTGGGAAGAGGAACTTTGATGGGAACAAGCAATTTTATGAGGTAGGATATGATATGAAGCCTTTTCCCCATCGTATAACTGAATCTTTCATAAAATACCTACGCTTCATGAACTGTTGACTTAAAATTGTTTGGGGCAATGAGTACACGTAGACATATAGAATAGAGTGGTAGACATTGGAGACTACAGAAGTTGGAAGGGTGGGAGGGGAGTGAGGGTTGAAAAATTCTCTCTTGAGCACAATGTCACTATTCGGGTGATGGGTTCCCTAAAAGCCCAGATTCCATCACCATGCAACATACTGTGTCCGGAATTGGTTCCTTTCCATGGGTTCTTGGTCTTGCTGACTTTAAGAATGAAGGCACAGACCCTTGTGGTGAGTGTTGCAGCTCATTGCTACAGCTCATAAAGGCGGTGTGTCCAGAGTTGTTCATTCCTTGGTCTCAGGGGCTTCAGGAGTGAAGCTGCAGACCTTCACAGTGAATGTTACAGCTCATTGTTACAGCTCTTAAAGGTAGTGTGGACCCAAAGAGTGGGCAGCTGCAAGATTTGTTGCAAAGAACAAAAGAACAAAGCTTCCACAGCGTGGGAGATGACCCTAGCGAGTTGCCACTGGTTGTTCGGGTTGCCTGCTTTTATTCCCTTATTGGGCCCCACCCACACCTTGCTGATTGGTCCATTTTACAGAGAGCTGATTGGTCTGTTTTGACAGAGTGCTGATTGGTGCATTTACGAACCTTTAGCTAGACACAGAGTGCTGATTGGTGCATTTACAATCCTTTAGCTAGAGAGAAAAGTTCTCCAAATCCCCTACCCAATTAGCTAGACACAGAGAGCTGACTGGTGCATTTACAAACCTTTAGCTAGATACAGACTGCTGATTGGTGCATTTACAATCCTTTAACTAGAGAGAAAAGTTCTCCAAGTCCCCTACCCAATTAGCTAGACACAGAGAGCTGACTGGTGCATTTACAAACCTTTAGCTAGATACAGACTGCTGATTGGTGCATTTACAATCCTTTAACTAGAGAGAAAAGTTCTCCAAGTCCCCTACCCAATTAGCTAAACACAGAGAGCTGACTGGTGCATTTACAAACCTTTAGCTAGACACAGAGTGCTGATTGGTGCATTTACAATCCTTTAGCTAGACAGAAAAGTTCTCCAAGTCCCCACCCAACCCAGAAGCCCAGCTGGGTTCACCTCTCAATAGGCATGTAAGAAACCTGCCCTTGTACCACCGAAATCTATGAAAATAAAACAATTTTAAAGATTTAAAAAAATAAACTTAATAAATAAAATGTTTAGTCATCTTTTTTAAAAAGTAAAATAAAATTGTTTGGGCGGAGATGCAGCAAAGATGTATGAGGAACACAGCCACTGCATAAAAAGTCTAGTGTGTCCATGATGCAGAAGTCCTAGTACTATGTGATATCAATTTCCATGGACAATCCGAATTGTAATTGGTTTTAATTGGTGTTCTTTTAAAATTGGTTTTCTTTTAATACTGGTTTTTATAAGAATGTAATCAAATAAAAATACAAGAACTCTCCTATTTAAAAGAATAATAATGTCTCAATGTCTCTCTTTCTAT
This sequence comes from Homo sapiens, assembly GCF_000001405.40. Lineage (NCBI taxonomy): Eukaryota > Metazoa > Chordata > Mammalia > Primates > Hominidae > Homo > Homo sapiens. Next base: position 114,206,634 of record NC_000002.12, on the reverse strand, counting down.
GGCATGTTTACATGAAACTCTTTCTCGGCTGGGCACGGTGGCTCGTGTCTATAATCCCAGCACTTTGGGAGGCCGAGATGGGTGGATCATGAGGTCAGGAGTTCAAGACAAGCCTGGCCAAGATGGTGAAACCCCGTCTCTACTAAAAATACAAAAATTAGCCAGGCATGGTGGCGGACACCTGTAATCCCAGCTACTTGGGAGGCTGAGGCAGAGAATTGCTTGAACCTGGGAGGTGGAAGTTGCAGTGAGCCGAGATCACACCACTGCACTCCAGCCTGGACGACAGAGCAAGACTCTGTCTCAAACAAACAAACAAACAAAAAAACTCTTTCTCTTCAACTGCCAGAAAGACAAAAAAAAAAAGTGAGGGAGCCAAAAAAGAAATTTAATTGGACTAGTTGTTGCCAATTGGGGTTTAGCAATGATAGCCACTTAGCCCTTCCATGTCCTAAGTCAGAAACACTAAAAGACTAAAATCTACATTTCCTAGACTCTCTTGGATCTAGGAATATGAATGAAATTGAGGCTGTGTAAGTGAAATCAGTTCATCTGAGATTTGAGAGGTAAGTGGAGGTCAAGGCATTCTTCAGAGGCTGTGGCAGCAAACAAGCCAGTTGTGGCAGAACTCACAGTCCTCTTTTTTTGTTACCTGCTTGTGCCATGGGGCCAGCATCTGTGAACTAATAATATGGCATATTAGAGTATTAATAGAGCTGTAGATTTAAACAGTCAAGGATTTAATTTGTAATTGGCATGATCTAGCTCCAAACCGTTCTTTAAAAGGAGTAGCTTTCTTCTTGTTGTCTTAATTTATTTAATTCTATTAATATTTAGAAAACTCCTTCAAGGTGATGGCACTACTTATTCATCTTATGAAGAAGTTTCACCATGGGGTATGCAATTCCACGTTTTGAAACATTCAATCACCATCCATAAAACGGCAGCAGCCATTAAGCAGTCAAATTGAATAGAACTTCCTTAGAAAGCAACTTAAATGCACTATGGCTGGAAGGTCAGCATGTGGCAGCTTAACAAAGCAGGGAAGTCAGATAAATTTCTTTTGCCACCCCCAAGCAAGGCATACCCAAGGCATATGGCTTCTTCCACTCCCTTTTTTGGATTATTTATTTCTTTTGAAATTCCCACTCCACCGCCATCTACCTATCCACATTTCTTGCATCTTTAAGACCCAAATGAAAATTTATCCCCTCCAGGGAGATTTCCCTCCCCCATTTCCAGTGATTTTCCCTTCATCTATTATTTTATAATTTTCATATCTTTTCCATTTTCCATTATTTCTGATATGGCACTTTTATTCCTAGTGACTGTTTTCTGGATGAAGATACACATTATACTTCCCTAAAATCTATCCAGACTATAAACACAAGATGTTAAGGCCTGGATTTGTTTTGGTTTATTTGTTTGGTCCTTGCTTTATCTCCCAGTACTTGATATTTGGTAGATTCTCAATTAATATTTGGTGAGCAAATAAATTGTGTTATCAGAAAATATTGGTCCACCCAAAATCAATGCACCCCTGTCCATAGCATAGGGTTGTTTATGGAATAAATTTCCTAGCCCCCTTGCATCCTGGGGTGGCCACATATCTAGTTCTTACCAGCAGAATATAAGTAGAAGTGATTTGGTTCCTTTCTGAGATGGAGTACTTGAAGTAGATCCTTTTCCTTTCCAATGCCTAGAAACAAACAAGTCCAAGGCCCTGGATGGTTAGGGAGCCACAAGACAAAAGAAGCCTAGATTTCCAAGTTACTGTGTGGGAAAAAAACAAAAAGCTGTTTTTGTCCATTGAGAAAACCCATATTGAACATTTGCATAAGTGAGAAAAATTTACTCTGTGATTCACACTAAGATCTGTACAAGATTAAGAAGTTTTATTCACAATAAGTAAAAACTAGAAACAACCCAAATGGTTGTTAATTGGTAAATGAATAAACATATTGCAGCAAATGCATACAATGGAATACCATTCAGCAATAAAAAATGTGTTAAAGATATATATATATATATATATATGAACATGAATGAATCTCAAAAAGCATTATGCTATGTAAAAAAGACAGGCACACACACAAAAGCTATATAGTGAATGATTCCATTAATGTAACATTCTGGAGAAGTCAAAATCATAGGAACAGAAATCAGAGCAGTAGTTGCTCAGTTCTGGGGGTGGAAGGAGGGAACTACTCCAAAAGAGCATAAGGGAACTTTTTGGGGTGATGGAAATATTCTGTGTCTTGGCTGTGGTGCTGTATACTTAGTTGTAAATCTTTGTTAATGTTCATTGAACTGTACACTTTATATAAATTATTCCTCAGTAAACTTGATTATTAAAACATCTTCTGTATTAAGACATTGGAATCTTGGAATTTATTTAGTACATGGTCAAATATGCTAGTGTCATTTTAGCTAATACATGAATGGAGGAAGAGTAAAGTCAAACTCCACCCAAGGGGCTGCTTTAGCATGCTCCAACACCCTGCATGTTGCTGAACTCATAATAAATGCTCAGGAAAAAAGTGTATTGAAGTAACCTTAATTTCTCTCCCACAATTTTTTCATTCCATAGTTTGCCTACAATCATTTATATATTCATTCATTCATTTCCTCCTATCATTGCACACTGTAAAACAAAAGCTGCCAAGCTCCATACTCTGAAAACACATTTTTCAAATGCTTTCCATGCAAGCAATCACGCATTGGTCTGTTTTATTCATAAGGCAATTTTTCTTTCTAGCTGCTAGAGCCACTTAAACATTTAATATCCATAAAACTGCTTTAATTTTTTAAGAACACAAATGGGGATTCCATTGCACTAAATATGGAATCATTTGGTGTCATAGCAACAAGCCTCATTTGTACCATTCAGAATTCACTCACTGAGTATAGCTCTTAAAAAAAATAGTCTGGCCTTCTTGGTCATCCCTCTCAGTCACAGATTTTGAACCCTAGGCTTCCAATACTCCCTGCCCCTTCACCTTGAAATCATCCTTTTCTACTCTGAGAGGACTTAATGCCCTAAATGTTTCACTGAAGCTATTTCCCAAAGTTAATCAGAACCAATGAAAGTGTGCTGGAAAAGAAGGAATATCTGAGAAGAAACAGAATCTCTATTTATTATGATTTTCTAGAACATATTCTCCAAGAATACACAGAGTTGGGATATTAAAGTAGCTTGGAGAGAAGATGGTTAAAAGCTTTGGAAGCAGCTGTATTAGTCAGGCTAGGATAAGCTATGCTGGGTAACAAACAATTCCATAATTACTCATCAAGACTTTATTGTACTTTTTATTCAAACAAGTCTGTTTGGGGACTCGGAGGCTTCCAGAGTGTCTGACCTCCATGCAGCCACTTTGCCGTCCAGGATTCTTTAATACAGACGTGCATTAGAATCTCATCTCACATACTTAGGATTTCTGTGTCACGGGCATGTAATTTAGGCTCTCAGAGCCTCATTTTTCTCATCTATAAAAATGACATAATAAATCAATTGTCAACAAGGGATTAAGAATTTTATGTATTCTCTACCCCAGAGCTGCTGCACTGATGAACAAGATCCAATGGAGGGGCAATACTTAAAATAAAGTAGTAAATTTTTTTAAGGGAAGAATATCATGGTCCAAAAGACATTAGGGCACTCTTGCATCTCAGAGTGAAGAATGGTCTAGAAGAAAAACAACTTCCAAATTTGAACCAATTTGTTGCAGCACAAAGACAGCCATGAATGAAAAACTAGGCGTGAGCCCCATGTGGTCAGGTGCTCTATGTTTTTGACAACAGTAGCCCCAGCGTGGCACATGGTAGGTGATCAAAGTTACTAAATCTTGAATGAAGCAGGGATTCTGAACTCATCTCACCATAACAGTTGTTATCACCCCCAAATGGGCTCTGGTCTTCTCATATATAAAGAGATTATCTGAAATGATACTTCCAGCTCTGAAATGCATCATTTATAGCTCCTAAAAGTGAACAGGGCCTTAAGGGGTCATGTAGTTTAATACCATTCCTGCTGTCTCTGCTTTCGCCCCTAGCAGGAGGGCACTTAAACCTTCCATGACAGATTGTTATCCATCCTTTGATGGGATAGATGTAAATGACATTGGGTGATTTTTCTGTATCTCCCCTTAATACCATTAATAATTCCCTACCTTATATTTTTAAAGTGCAGCGTCTACCGACAAAAATGTCAAAATTGACATACTGAGATTATAGTTATAAGAACAGAGTCAAATAGCTCAGAAAAAGCAATTTGGATTCTGGGATTGGCTTCAGTCCTAAAGATACTCCATAGTGCCTTGACATTATAGAGGCATATGAAAGTAAATTCAGTCTCCCAAGACTTATTTTTACTCTGGTTAGACAATTAATGAAAAAGGCTATTAAAGCTAATCTATCGTTGTTAGCATTTGAAAGAAAGTTCCCTGAAAAATGAGAGCTTTCTTTCATTTCATTTCATTATGATGTTTCTTAGGAACATTATAATGTTCCTAAGCAAAAAAACACTACAATAGAGAAACCAAATTTGGTGATGGCACTTTTCTCCGCTTCGGATGGATGATGGGCAGATAATGTGAACAGATGATAGATAAATCAGTAATGTGAACAAATGGCAGAAAGAGGGAGCTGTCTCCTGTGGCAGAAGGCCGTTCTTGGGGACTTTGCCTGACTCAAAGGAGTACAACTGCTTTGAGGGTGAATTAAATAGTCATTCAACAGACCAGAGAATACACTTGGTGATTTAAAATAATTTTAATGCTAATTAAATAAAAGGTATAAAAGGTGCCCTCCTCACATTCTCTCACAACAATGTTTCTTTCTTTTTTTTTTTTAAACAGAGTCTCGCTCTGTCACCCAGGCTGGAGTGCAGTGGTGCGATCTCAGCTCACTGCAAGCTTCACCTCCCGGGATCAGCCATTCTTCTGCCTCAGCCTCCCCAGTAGCTGGGAGTACAGGCGCCCCCCCACCGCGCCCGGCTAATTTTTTTTATATTTTTAGTGGAGACGGGGTTTCATCGTGTTAGCCAGGATGGTCTCGATCTCCTGACCTCGTGATCCGCCCGCCTCGGCCTCCCAAAGTGCTGGGATTACAGGCGTGAGGCACCGCGCCTGGCCCAAAATTTCTTTCTTAAGTCGTTATGACAAAGGGGTTAACAAAAAGCTTGGTTAAAATTGCTAAAATTTGACAATTGAAAGACAGTAGGATAGTTGGCCTAGTATAGGAGGGTGAAATGGGGGTGAGAGGACGGGGAGCAGGACAGATAGAGCAAAACAAGTGTGTTAGTCATGCTAGGATAATCTATGCTGAATAACAAACAATTCCATAATTACACATCAAGACTTTATTGCACTTTTTACTCAAACAAGTCTGTTTTGGGACTAGGAGGCTTTCCAGAGTGTCTGGCCTCTATGCAGGCACTTTGCAGTCCAGGAGTCTTTAATCCAATGGGTCTGCCATATCAGTATGCAGATTCTTCAGTCATCAGGGCAGATAAACAGGCAGTAAAGAACTACCCATTGCTGACTACCATACAGAACAACTTTGGAGAGACCAAGATTCCCTGGCCCCCAACCCATCTTGTTAATACACTGTCCACTTGCAGAATTCAGTTACATCACCATATAGGATTCTGCACCCCTAACTCTTCCAGCAACACAAAAATTAAATCAGCCTGTATAAAGATTTCATATATAAACATTTGAATTTAAATATAAGTGGTCATTCACGGAGCTCAGCATTAGAGAAAGGAGGAAAGGAGAAATTCATATTGGCAACTGCTGGAGGAGGTATGAATCCCTACATTGATTCCCAGAATAATTTAGAAACCTAAAAGACCCAGACTTCCATTGATCTCGAATGTTCCCCACAGAGTCAAGTTGTAACCTTGACACCTGCTCCTTCTGTTCTAGCCAGGTAGGGCCTTTAGTCCCCACATGAAACTCAGCCACTTCAGGCTCTGGTGCAAATGTAGCCCCCATGTGAAGGATGCATGGAGACCTAGAACTCACAGTGTAGTTCTCAGCAGCTTGGCAAAGCCGACCTTGCAGCTTACCTGCTAAGTATGTAGCACAGTGCTAGCACCTAGTGCTCCTGAAATAATAGGTCACATGTAAAGCTGTCTTTGGAATTAACTCTCCATCCTCTTAGCAACACTATAAAGTGGACACTGCTATTATTCCCATTCTATATGAAGAAATAGGTATGGAGAGGTTAAACAACTTCCCTAAAATAATACAGCCATTAAATGGAGGAGATCATAGCCTGACTAATAAACAGACTGAAAGGACACAGAGCAAAATCAGCAAAAGGAAAAATGCATAAGATGAAGTCTGGAGGAAACCAGGCATAAACTTCCAAGAGTCTTCTGTCTGTGGAATTGAAGTAGGAGGCAGGACCAGATTCCAAAAGTGGGGCTTGGACACTGGACCAGATTGAGAACTAGCTAAAACAGGGAAAAGGTGAAAATACTTCTCCATAAGACATGCCCACCAGTGTGCCATATCAGTTTGCCATTGCCATGGCAACTCACAGAAGTTACCAGTTCTTACCATGGCAATGACCTGATGACCCAGAGGTTACCACTCTTTTTCTAGAAATTCCTGCATAACCCACTCCTTAATTTGCATATAAGTAAAAGTGTGTATAAATGTGACTGCAGAACTGCCTCTGAGCTGCTACTCTTGGCACACTGCCTCTGGGGTAGCCCTGCTCTGCAAGGAGTGGCACCTCTGTTGCTGCTGTACACTGCCACTTCAATAGAAGTTGCTAACACCACCAGCTTGCCCTTGAATTCTTTCCTGGGCAAAGCCAGGAACCCTCCCAGGCTAAGCCCCAACTTTGGGACTCTCCTGTCCTGCATCAGAATCACACAGGACGTGCTTAATTCTTCCAGCACCAACTTATGATAACACATGTGAAATGTCTACCAGAGAAGTCATTCAGAGATTTACTGCTCAGGGGCTTTTGTTGTGGGCAGGTCACATGGGCAACCCTCCACTAGCATATACCAAAATTCCAAGACTCCCAAAAGAAAAGCAAGTATTCAGCATAAGCCATATTGTTTGCACAAACAGTTTAGTTTAAGCATAAAAGCCACTTTTATCAGTTCTGGAAATGGTGGAGACTCTCCCCAAATCCAAGTTCCTAGATGCTAGTCAAGCACCAGCCCTGCAAACAAGCCTTTCTAAGCAGTCAGTCTTCCTCGATCAATTCTTTTCATTACATTTTCTTATCCAGCAAGCATTGTACTAAGGAATGAGTTCCAAAGATTTATTTTTAAGCATCCACTATGTGCCAGACACAGTTTCAAATGCTGGGTATACAGAAAAAAAAAAAAAAAAAAGCAGACAAAAGACTTTCACTTATAAAGATTTCATCATCTACTGAAGGAAATAAACTGTAAATAAACTAATAAATATCCAATAAAAATTTTTTTTGAAAAACAAAAAATCAGAGTAGAGGAATAGATATCACAGAAAAGACACTCCAGAAAGAGAAGTCAGGAAAGCCTTGGCTGTGTGGGTGTGTAAGAGCAGTGAAAAGAAGGGGCAAGTCACATGCCCCTCAGTGAAAAGAGCTTTCCAGGCTGAGGGAGAAAGGCGCGCACAGTCACTGAGACAGGAATGTGCTTGTGTGTATGCAGCAGCCACAAAGAAACTGAGTGAAACTAGAGAGATAGAATGTATCCAAAGTCCTTACCTTGGCCAATAAGTCCCTCTGCGGCACGGCTCCTGTGTAAGAGCAGTAGGATGCCGTTGGCAGGTTGAATGGGGGGCTGGCAGTAGGATGCCATTGGCAGGTTGAGTAGGGGGCTGGCATGGTCTGATTTATGTTTTAAAAAATGAGTAAGTCATGCTTCCCACCTACAAAGGGCTCTTGGCCTACTAGGTTAAAGAGTTGTGTCAATAAGTGATGGCAATATAGTGGGTACACACTAAAAGAGAGATACAGAAAGGAATAAAGTTGAAGAGAAAATGATATTTGATTTCAAAATTTATTACAAAGCTTCAAAAATAAAAATTATGAGATTGGCATAAGGATTTGTCTATGGCTTTTTCCATGGCTCAGTGGAATAGAATAGCCCAGAATTATATCTACATGTATATGGACAACTGATTTTGACAAACACGAAAAGACAAGTTAATAGCAAAAGAATAGCCTACTCAGCAAACGGTGGTAGAACAATTAGATGGCCATGTACAAAAAAAAATTATGATCGATACCTTGCACCATATATAAAAATTAATTTGAAATAAATTGTGGACCTAACTGTAATACTTAAAATCACAGTACTTCTAGAATAAAATATAAAAGAAATTATTTGTGGCTTTGGGTTAGGCAAAGTTTTCTTAGATAAATCAACAAAAGCATAAAAAAAATCCATAAAAAAAATTTATAAATTTGACTTCACCAAAATTTCAAACTTCTCTTTTCAAAGGATTCTGTTAACATAATCAAAAAAACAAACCATAGACTGAGAGAAAATACTTAAAAATCATATAGGCTGGGTGCGTTGGTTCACACCTGTAATCTCAGCACTTTCGGAGGCCGAAGCGGGCGGATAACCTGAGGTCAGGAGTTCGAGACCAGCCAGACCAACATGGAGAAACCTCGTCTCTACTAAAAATACAAAAATTAGCCAGGCATGGTGGTGCATGCCTGTAATCCCAGCTACTCAGGAGGCTGAGGCAGGAGAATCTCTTGAACCTGGGAGGTGGAGGGTGCAGTGAGCTGAGATCATGCCATTGCACTCCAGCCTGGTCAACAAGATCAAAACTCCATCTTAAAAAAAAAAAAGAAAAAATCATATCTGTGATAAACAGCTTGAATCCAGAACATAAAAAAAAAACTTTCAAAACTCATTTATAAGGAATGAAACAATCCATTTTTTTTTAATGGACAAAAAGTTTAGGCAGACATTTTACTGAAAAAGATATATGGATGGCAAATAAATATGACAAGACGCTCAACATTATAGTCACAATGAGATACCACTATACAACTGTCATAATGACTAAAATTTAAAGCAAACAATTATTTTAAGCTTTGGCAAGAATGTAGAGAAAAAGAAAGTCTTATATACTTCTGGTGGGATGTAAAATGGTACAATCACTTTGGAAAACAGTTTGGCAGTTTCTTAAAGGTTATATACATATCCATCATATGATTCAGCCTTCTACTTCTAAGTATTTACACATAGCTAGAGAAATGAAAGCATATATTAATTTACATGATTTTCATAGAAGCTTTATTTAGAATAGACCAAATGTCCATCAGTAAGGGAAGAGATAAACAAATTATAGTATAACCCATACAATGGAATACTATTCAGCAACAAAAAATAATGAACCATTGATACATGCAAAAATATGGCTTATCTTCAAATTGATGATGCTGAGTAAAGGAAGTAAGAAAAAAATACATACTGCTTACTTCCATTTGTATAAGACTCCAGAAAATACAAACTAATCTACAGTGACAGAAAGCAAATAAATGTTTGCCTAGGCCAAGAAGCAGGGAAAGTGTAGGAGGGAAATGCAATAAAAGGGCATGAGGAAATTTTTGGAAGTGATGAATTCATTATTTGATCAGGATGATGGCTTCACAGATATATATATATATATATATATATATATATATATATATATATATGTACATATATATACATATATATATATATATGTACATATATATACACGCACACACATACATACATATATATATATATGTAGAAATGGAGAAGGAGGATATGGAAAATGTATGTGATGTGAGAAAAACAGTCAGGACATTGCCCTAAATGGGTGCCTACCTGTTAGACCTGATTCTTGACTCTTAATTCAGCATGGTGCAACTACCCCAACCACCTGCCCTGATGCCTTCATGTTTCCAGCTTCTGAAATACATCCTTATCAACTGTTCCAGACTTCAGAGACTTATTTGAATGTCCAGATATCACCCATGCTGGATGTAGCTGAGCCAGCTGGCCAGAGATCTTTCTTCAACTCTTAGTAAGAATGTATAGTTTAAAAAAGTGTGAGATTTCATGTAAAAATATGCTCAACATCGGTTGTCATTAGGGAAATGTTAATATAAACAAGAGTGAGATGCTACCACGTACTTACTAGAATGTCTAAAATGGAACTATCCGACAATACTAATTTCTGGCAAGGCTGCAGATACATAGGAGCTCTCATTCACTGGTAGTGGGAATGCAAAATGGTACAGCCAATTTGAAAGACAGTTTTTTCAGTTTCTTACAAAGCTAAACATAGACTTGCCATACAATCCAGCAATTGCACTTCTTGGTATTTACTCAACTGATTTAAAAACTTAGGGACACACACACACACACACAGAGCACATGAATGTTTATAACAGCTTTATCTGTAATTCCCCAAAATGGAAGCAACCAAGATTCCTTTCAATAGGTAAATACATAAACAAACTATGGTACATATATACAAAGGAATACCATTCAGCATTAAAAAAAGAATAAGCTATCAAGCCACACGAATGCTTGGATGAATCTTAAATGCATACTGCTAAGTAAGAGATGCCAGTTGGAAAGGCTGTATACTCTATAGTTCCTTTTATACGACATTCTACAAAAGTCAAAACTATGAAGATGGTAAACAGATCAGTTGTTGCCAAGGATTTGGGGAGATAGGGTTGAATAAGTGAAGCACAGGAAGTTTTTTTAGGGGGGTGAAACTATTCTGTGTAATACTGTAATTGTGAACATATGACATTATGCATTTATCAAAACCAATAGAATTTTAAGGCATGAGGGAACTTTAATGTATGCAAGAGAAAATATCATAATTTAGGATGTTGAGGAATGCAATGATGGAATGCAGGATGCGACCTAAAACTCAAACTGTGTAACAAGTGTATGAAACAATCTCACTGAAAGGGACTGAGGAAAAGGTGCTGACCTATGTAACTTTGGAAATGAGTGGAGCATGTAAGACTAAGGCAAAAGGAGCTGCACATAAACACTGTCCTCTCGATGATAAATTGATTTCCCCTGGAGGTACAGGTTAACACTTCTGAAACTACTATTCATGTATGCTGGAATTGAATGACTAGGTAAATGAAATGGAAGATGGTGAGGGCCAGATTTTTCACTGTTGAAGTGGAAGGTTGCAGTATGCAAGGAGAGAAGGCTAGAATGGTGTATGTGTAATAGATTAGAGTGAGAAACATTAGCACAAATTCATATTATATTTAATATAAATACAGATGGTTACATTAGAGATATTTATAGATATGTGTATATAAACAGTTTAGTATACACACATATATTTCTTTTTTCTGTCAGCCAAGGTAGCCTAGAAGCAACAAAATCCCAGTGGCAGAACACACGTAACATCCAAATCTTGGCTTCTAATATCATCCTCCAATAAAAGGACATGGGCTCCTAGGAGAAATGACTCTAGGACTGGGTCAGGAAATATGTAAGATGAACCTGCAGCAATTCATAGTTCCAGAATATAAAGGAGTTCTGAAAATTTTTTTTTAAAAAAGCACAGTAATGGAGGGATACAAAGGACACATAAGCCAACAGAAAGAACAACAAAATAAGTAGTATTGAATTATTACCTGAAGTATAAAGTAAATATAATGAGTCTGTACAGTATGATTTAATTAATTGGGAAAATAATTCATTTAAGATCTTATAGATACTAAGATCTTATAAATATTAACTAGTAAATTTAATATAAATATTAATTCATTAAGTCAAATATAAATTTATATGATTAATGGTAAGAATAGACAAATCTACCGTGCAGACCGATTTCTAATAATTTACATGTATACTTCACTCTCAAGAAAGTGGAACATAACTCCACTTCTGTGGCCTTACTCATGCCGTAGGTCTTGAGTCAATTGAGATGTTGGAAATAAGCTCATGATACAGGAAGCTTTTATGTATGGAGCCTGGTGACAGAGCAAGAGCAACCCCCCATTCCTGTCTCCCATCACCCTGTGCCCTCCCCAAGCCATCCAGCCCTGCAGCCAGCATCCTGTCCCTCCCCTTTCCTTTCAAGTAAATCAGTCAGGACCAAAAAGCTCTATTATCTGTTATCCTGCACAGATCCAGATTCTCCCTGCAGTTTGCAGGTTCTTTGAGCAATAACAACACTTCTCAAGCCTTATGCCAGCTCTCCACAAAATTCTCTGTTTAAATAATCATGACCTCTCCACATTCCCACCTAAAAGGGATGCCTTGGTTTCCATCCCCATGGAAATAATTGGCATTTATAAGCCAACTCGGAAGACAAATTTTTAAGAAGATAAACTTTAACAGAGCAAAGTACTGCAGAAGCCACATCACTGCATTCGCTATTGCTTGGCAGTGATGAGGTGTACCCGACGTGCATTTTTAAAGATTTTTGTAACTCAAATTGGTGTGTTCCATCCTTTTCAGACCTTGGGGGAATTTTAGCAGCAGGAAAGATTCCTGCAGGTGTGTTTTGAATGACTGTGGAGTTTTGCTGCCTCATGAGTCCTCTTCCATGTGTTCTCCTTCTCTGAGCCCCAGCTCCTTGCTCTTTCCCTCCCATCTCTCCATCCTATTAGCAATCCCTGGTGAAGCATGGACATCATTGAGTGGGGCATAGTATGGACTAAGTTAGAAATAAGTCAATTATCTGATGAAAAGAGCATACAACCAGTGGTTGCAAGAATCAGCCCAGTCCCAGTGTTACTAACAGCCCTGTCTGTGGATTTAGCTGAGTTCACTCATTGTTCCAGGCAGAAACTTACTTATCAAGCAAATCAAATAAATCAACCCCTCTATACCTCTTTTGCTCTGAGAATCACAAAGTGATTCTCAATTGGGCAATAATGCCACTATCAAGAGTGTTTGGAAATGTAAGCAAGCATAGGGGTGGGGGTGTCACAATATCTTGGGATTTGGGGGTGGCAAGACTGCCAAATGGCCTGCAAGGCTCCAGACAGTCCCACATAATGAAGAATTTCCCTCATTAACATTGCTAATGTTATACCTTCTAACAAAATTCCTGTTGGAGCACCCGTAGACCTCCAAAAATTCAAAGAGCTTTATAAATTCAAATATCTTAGCACTAAGTACTTAAACTTTTGTGCAATTTTCTATTTCATTAGAAGGAATTCTATAGCTGGAAAACCGTGTGTGTGTGTGTGAGTGTGAGTGAAATGCACTAACAAAAATTAGAAAAAGCACTAATAATGCATCTGAAGCGCTAGGCACTAATTCTAGCTCTATCACTGACCCACTGTGTGACCCTGAGAAGCCGCTTCCCTTCTCTTGGGTCACACAGTTTCCTGATCCATGGATGAAATGTTGATTCTCATTAATTTCTAAGGTACCATGAAGCTCAACATTTCCATAACTCTAAGACCCATAAAAAACTAATTATTCTTTCTGTACTTTCATGAGCAAATGTGACCAGTGCAGGTAGATTAAAGAAATAAGCTGAAGATTGATAGAGGTTAGCATGTGTTTTCTTATAAAGGTTAAGTCTGGCAAAATGACAGCAGCAATGAAGGGACACCCTACCTGGAGGTGACAACAGCAATGGCAAGGTTGTCGTAAGCTTCTCCTGGTGGTATTTTCAGGTAACTTAAGAGAAGAGCTGCAAAAATGCAGAAGCATATCCTCTTCACTGAGTAAACTATCTTGGGTCCGAGCAGAGATGTAACTGGTTGGGAAAAAAAATTGAACGCAGCCATTAACTTAGCCTACGGGTATTGAAGAAGCACAAATGGTGAGGTGAACCCTGAGCTAGCATAGCAAGAGAAAGAGAAGACAAGGCCCCTGTCCTCAAGGGCTCACAATTAGGAAGAAAACAGATAAACAATTTTTTAAAACTTGACAAATGTCATAAAATACAAGGTGCCACGGGTATATAGAAGAGAGAAGACATAACCCCCAAAGAAAATCAGCCTTCACAAGCCCTTAATGTATGCAAGGGTCCCCCAGGAGGGAGCAGGAGCTAAGGCTGTGGGGAGGATGGGAGCACCTCGGCCTCCTGAGGCAAAGATGACAACACAGTGAGTCATGAGATAGCAAGGCATGCTGGGGGAAGATGAGTGATTTCGTTTGTTTTGACACCAGAGTGATTATTAAGAAATACCAAGATAAGGCCTGGCATGGTGGTTCAAGCCTGTAATCCCAACACTTTGGGAGGCCGAGTTGGGCAGATCACTTGAGGTCAGGAGTTCAAGACCAGTCTGGCCAACATGGTGAAACCCCGTCTCTAGTTAAAAATACAAAAATTATCTGGGCGTGGTGGTGCACACCTGTAATCCCAGCTACTCAAGAAGCTGAGGCAAGAGAATCACTTGAACCCAGGAGGCAGAGGCTACAGTGAGCCAAGATCGATCATGCCACCGCACTCAAGACTTGGTGACAGACAGAGACTCCGTCTCAAAAAAGAAGAAAGAAAGAAAAGAAAAAATACAGAGATAAGACTGAATAGATGGGCTTGGGTCAGCTCTGTGGTGTGGACTTTACCTGGTAGGCTGCGAGGATTATTGAGGAAGTTCCTTTTAGGAGAGTAAATAAGAAGATTGGAATTAGCGAGAGGGAAAAGACAAGTTATCCTGTGTTAAAGTAGGAATCAAAGCTGTGAAAAGGAACAGATAATTTGTTTCACTTTTTAAAAAAATAAAAAGTATTTTACATGTGCAGTTTTGTTACATGGGTATATCGCATGATGCTGAGGTTTGGGGTACAGATGGTCTCGTCACCCAGGTGGTGAGCTCAGTACCCAGTAGATAGTTTTGCAGCCCACGCCTCCTTCCTTCCTCCTCCTTTAGTAGCCCCCCGTGAGTACTGTTCCCATCTTTATGTTCAAGTGTATTCAATTTTCTATGTCAAAAACCATAAGCTACTATGAGAAAAGGAAAGGGCGAGTATGATTTAAAAGAGTTCAAGAATAATAGTGAGTTCAAAATGAAAATTAGCACAAAAGGTTCCCTATCACCTTACTCTGAGGTTCCGGTAAAATGAAAGTGACAGAATTAAAACCGAACACAAAAAGAACAAGCGGGGACTATCAGCAAGCAGGAGATGTTAACAAATTTCTAAAACTCGGAAAAAGGATGGAATTCCGTGAGTGGGTAAAATGTTAACTAGGAAGCCCAAAATATGCAGAGGGCTAAAACCAAGAGAAAGAGTCCATATGTCCTACAAAAAGCCAATGGAAATGTCAGTTTCTAAGTCAGCAAGGAAAATGGACATGGAAAGAGTTTCCGAAAGAGGGGACGGTAGCTGAAACTCCATCTACTGGCCACTGTTCTAGTCAATGTCCCATGTTACCCAGTCCCTTGCAAATGCACAGAGACACACATGTACACACAGATATGCACACATATGTATGCACATGCATTCACACTGGCCTGTCCTTAGGAGCCCAAGCTGACTACCGGACATGAGATCCCCAGGAGAAACACACACCATCATGACAAGAACCGTACAAGAGAACGTCTCTCTAACGAAAATGAATAAACTGAACAATTGAAAATTGAGCTGTTAGGGTGGACTTCACCATCCTGAGTAAAACCCTCTCTTTTCTTTTCAGCACTTAAGAAGTCCCAGTGTAAGGCCAGATTTCAACAAGCTCCCCTTGACGATTGCCCAGCTAAGGCCTTTTAGCCCAGTGCTAGCCGATGAGATATATAAGAGGAAGACGAATAGGGTCCTCTGGGAGGAGTACTTAGTTTCCTAATAAAAATTTCAGGTGCAAAACAAGACCTTTGTGCCATTCTTCCTGTCTGGAACTTTACATGATAATGGAGTAGGAGTGTTTATCTAAGGACCATGAGATGACAAGAAAAATAATGAAAGAATGAATTAAGCGTAGAAAAACTGGAAACTAGAAAAAGACTGGATCAGTTTTTAAAAATTGTTTAGCTGCTGGATAAGACCTAGAATGTTCTTTGTTCAGTCTTCTCTTGAGTGAGATAATAAACATCTAAATTGTTGAGGCCACTTTTGTTGGGTTTTCTACTGCTTGTGGACAAACAAATTCCAGCCGATAGAAGTAACCATCAGACCTAAAAGATAGTGACTAAAAGGGATGTTATCTGAGAAGTAACACTGCGTAGAAACAGAAGCACTTCTTCACTATTTTTTAATCATATACTTCTTACTTTCATAAAAAGAAGCAGACTCATTTGGGGAAAATACTTCTATGTATCAGAGTCTTTTTATTTGTTATGTCAAATACATTAAATTTTTTTAATTGAACTTTTTGTTTATTTTGAGTTGTAATCTAGCTCTGTTGCCAGGCTGGAGTGCAGTGGCACAATCTCGGCTCACTGCAACCTTCATTTCCTGGGTTAAAGCGATTCTCTTGCCTCAGCCTCCCAAGTAGCTGGGACTACAGACACATGCCACCACACCCAGCTAATTTTTGTATTTTTAGTAGACACAGGGTTTCACCATGTTGTCCAGGATGGTCTCGATCTCTTGACCACATGATCTGCCTGCCTCGGCCTCCCAAAGTGCCAGGATTACAGGCGTGAGCCTCCGCGCCTGGCCTGCGCTTTTAAGTTGTTTCCCTCTTTTTTTTTTCTTATTATTATACTTTAAGTTCTAGGGTACATGTGCACAAAACGTGCAGGTTTGTTACCTAGGTATACATGTGCCATGTTGGTGTGCTGCACTCATTAACTCATCATTTACATTAGGTGTTTCTCTTTTTTTTTAACTATTTGGTAATGTTTTGGATTAAAACAGAAACCAGAGATTTTGTCCAAAGGATTTGGTCACAGATCGCACGTGGTAATGACTCCCAGTGGAAGGATATTACAGCTGTACAGACCTTTCACTCTCTCCTCGTCTGGTGGCCGTGAATGTAGAAAATTTAACACTCACAAAGCTGACTCTGCAACTTGTTTCACAGTTGGCAGCTTTGTGACCTTAAGATGCTTTTGTGTACAGATGGAAAGGAGAGGTACATAACCACAAAGACAGTGGTTGTCAAGAGCAATCTGTGCGAGGATCACCTGTATGATGGAGCTTGCTGAAAATGCAGGGTTCTGAGGCTTAACTTCACAAAGTCTGCTTCAGTAGGAAGTCCCCAAATGATACAGGTGTCCCCTGGACCATGCTAACTACCACATGGTTTGAGAAACGCCATACTCTAGGGTCAGTGGGGAAAGCAGTTGCCATCCCATAGGATTGATTGGCCATTCTCCCACCACCCAGCCATCTGTGCTTCATTCTCACAACAAATGTTTGTTGAGTCACACAGCAAACTCATCACTGAATACACAGAGCTGATTAAGACAGTAGTCTCTCCCTTGTCGACTTAATAATACAGCTAGAAAGAATAACACATTAACAGAATCTCCCTTAGGATTCTTGACAATACATTTTTAAAGACTTTGGAGACCCAGGGAAAATTCTGCTGTTCAGAGCAGAATACCTCAGAAACATTTCTTCCAACACCAGAGAGACTGAAATCAAGCCACAATCCTAGATCCAGTCTCTGCTAGTAGAAAGGACCAGGGATCGGCCGGGTGCGGTGGCTCACACCTGTAATCCCAGCATTTTGGGAGACCAACGTGGGCGGATCACGAGGTCAGGAGTTAGAGATCAACCTGGCCATCATGGAGAAACCCCATCTCTACTAAAAATACAACAAATTAGCCGGGCACGGTGACACGCTCCTGTAGTCCCAGCTACTCGGGAGGCTGAGGCAGGAGAATCGCTTGAACCCAGCAGTTGGAGGTTGCAGTGAGCTGAGATCGCGCCATTGCACTCCAGCCTTAGTGACAGAGCGAGACTCTGCCTCAAAAAAAAAAAAAAAAGAAAGAAAGAAAGAAAGAAAGAAAGAAAGAAAGAAAGAAAGAAAGAAAGAAAGAAAGAAAGAAAGAAAGAAAAGAAAAGAGAAGAAAAGGACCTGGAATCTTAAGCTTCATTCTTCATTTATCTGATATGCACACACACACACACACACACACACACACATATCCCCATACAAACACAAACACACATACACATTTTTCTACGGTTATAACCCATAGGGTTGGATTTTTTTACACAATTGGTGCGCATAATCATTTTGCTTGGGATTCAGATAATGTCAACACATAGACAACATGCAAGCCGTCAAAGCAGTCAACTTTTTGAAAATCCCAACGTGTTTTGACATTTTAAACATCACAGGGAACCAAATTGGTCATTGGTCAAGCTTTGCTAAAAATTTTGAAGAAATCCTGTGACACCAAAGAGTGCTATTTTTAGTTCTAGTGGTTTTCACATTTTATGTGTGGACTGAGTCTGCTGGAAATGCTGCAAACTTACCCTGTCATCCAGATATTCCAGTGTCATGCTCTCAGGCAAGCAGGTCTGTTGGCATTGGGGAGCAATGGCATTGGCTTTTTCAGAAGCAGAAATCAAGTTTATATTTGATTACAGACAGAGCAAATACGTTTATGCTCTAGTTACACTTTAAAATTAATTTCCCTCTAATTCTTCCAACCCAAGTTTCACATTTAAGAATTTATTCATCCTCTGCTCTTCCTAAATCAGATCCATGAAGCAATAAACAAAGTTCAGATGATGATGCATGGTAGCTTTAATTAAAACCACCTTTCTCAGTGCATGTCAAGGCCATCCTTGTGGAACTAGCAGTTTTTAGAATAAACTTCTCCAATTTAGGAAAGAAATAATTAATACATTATGAAGAACCTTGAGTACAGGAACACTACTGGTTCTTTATAACATATTAATTTTTTTCAGAAAACAGACATTTTACTGAGTGCCAACTATATGCCAAGCACTTTATTCATCTTGCTATTCCCATTATTCCACCTGTACTATAAGAAATTTAAAATGTCAACAACTATAAATGATTATAGATGATTCTTAAAAATTATTAGAACTATCAAATGCAAAGCAAATGTAGGATAACTTCTTAGTATTATGCTCTGTTACTGTAGGGTCTGTCAAACAATAACCCCCAGTTCTACCCCCACTCTGCCAAACATACTCTTATGAAATAACACTTCATAGACAATATCCATCCCATTACTATCCCCCAGCAGCATTGTTATAAAAGGATGTTGGTTTTTTACAGATTCCAGCCCAGTTTTACTAGGGCACACTTTTATCACCTTTTTATAAAAAGCTCTGGCAAATATATGTACAATACTATCTTTAAAGTAAGTTACGAGGTAGGAGTGAGACTCTGAAAATGAAAACATTACCATTTGATAGGTAATTTTCAGAAAAGAAAATATTACACTGATGAATCACCACATCAAATTAACTGTAGCAGCTAATTAACCAGAAGTCATGCAAAAAGCAGATTTTAAAAATAGTGGCTGCATTTGAGAAGGTGAGAAATAATGACTTACTTTTACTGGAAATTATAAGGAAGGATTAATTGTGAAAATAATTTCCAATGTATTTGCCTCTCTTCCTCTTTTCCTGAGGCTTAAAGGATCAGGTAAGAAGGAGAGAAATCATTTCCCTTGAATTGTTTGAAAATCAGCATTTCCTAAACTAATCTCTTTCCAATGTAAATCCCAAGAGAGATGCAGAATGATTTCAGAAAGTTCTCAGACCAAATATAATTGACAAGTGCTTTAGAATTCAAACTCCTCTTAGAGATTCCCAATGAACCTCAGCGTCGGCAAGGATTAGGAGAAGTCCTACCACAGACAGCTCTCGGATTTGGTTTAAATTACAGTTTCCCACACTTACTTCCCCATGCAGCAGGCTTCTTTATTGGGAGAGGAGAATTCAAACCTTGGAAACATTCTCTGTTCTCCATCCAGATGCTTGGAACATCTAGTATAAGGCTCTGAATTTTTCACTTTTGGATGATGGTTAATCCATGTGTAAATAGGTCAGAGCAATGCTAAAAATAAACAAGAAGATCTATATACACTCTTGGTAAAATGCCCTATGTTAGTCCATTTTCACACTGCTATGAAGATACTCCCTGAGACTGGGTAATTTATAAAGAAAAGGTGTTTAATTGACTCATCGTTCCGCATGGCCGAGAAGGCCTCAGGAAATTTACAATCATGGTGGAACGTACAGGGGAAGCAAGGCACATCTTTTATGGTGACAGGAAAAGGAGAGAGAAGCAGGAAGCACCAGACACTTATCAAACAACCAGATCTCATGAGAACTCACTCACTATCATGAGAACAGCACAGGGGAAACTGCCCCCATGATCCAATCACCTCCTACCAGGTCCTTCCCCTGACACGTGGGGATTACATTTCAGATTAGCATTCAGGATGAGAGTTGGGTGGGGACACAGCCAAACCATATAATGCCCTGTGTAATGTTCTTTGGTAAGACATTCTTGGTTTTTACAAAATTCCTTTGAGAAGGGGGCAAAGTACCTCGTTATTCAAACACAAGTGTTTCCTGTTACTTTTTCATTCACATCCCCAAGATTTTACCTGTTCCTTGTCCCATTACTCTTCTTCCTGGCAAGTCTCAGAAAGGAGAACTTGACAGCCTGGAGAAGGCAGCAGTGTAAATCCTACTAGAACAAAATGGAAGTGAAATCTCACAAGAGGCAATTCATCTCTGCTAGAAAATTTAATGTTCAGTGGAAGGAGACTAGAATAATTGATGTGGAGGCCAATGGACTTTAAAACTACTTAAAGTTCATTTTCAGTGTGATGAGAAGAGTTTTCTATAATATCTAAGCTTTCAAGCCTAAATATAGTTTTTAAGATCAAGCAAGAAAGTGAATATCTTCTAGGAAAAACACACACACACAAAACAAACAAACAAAACTTTATAAATTTCTTCAAGCTAAAGTCAGTGTTGTCACCCAGCCTACAAATCTAATTTGGTGAAAAAGAGTTTAATGCTTCCTGTAGGACTGTTCAGCCAAGACCTTAATAAAAGGATACCCAGATGGGAATATACATAACCTCAGAGACTGGAAAATTCCGTTCTAACTCCAGTGCAGCTTCTGAGTCGCCAAGTCTTTGGGAAGTCACTCTAACTCTTGGAGCCCTCATTTCCTCCTTGTCTGTGAAAGGAGTAAGCTTAAGGGAATTGCTATTGAAAGATTAAGCACTTGTGGTATAGTAGAAGCTTTCTTAACCATCTTGCATGTTATTAACTTGCTGGATAAATTTATAGTCTTTATTTGCTTGGAAAACATGAATAAATTGCTATAGCAAACCATTGCAAATCAAGAACCTGCCAACACTCCAGCCCAAACATGAAAAAAATTCCCACAGCAAGCCACAGCAAACCAAGAACCTCCAAGCACTCCAGCCCCTGCCTGGCTATAGGCTGAGTTCTGGATGTATATAAACCTATTTACACCAGTGTACTTGTGACTATAATTGCAGCCTTATTAATTATTACTTATACTTTTATTATTGCTTATTACATAATTAGTACTCACACTAGTGAGTATAAAAGTTGTTTCTCAGAAATAAAATTAAATGCTTAGATGAGTCTCTACAGTAAAATTAAAGCAAGGTTCTAAAAACTATTGTTGAAATAGATGCAAGTATGACAACTGTAAAAGTTTTGGTGTAAAATAATATATGAGAATTCAGAATAATACTGCACTTGGATATCTTCACATAGGTCTCCTAGTTCCAGATCCATTTCCTAATTTTTATTTTGAAATAGTTTGACTCATAAAAATTTGCAAAAATAATACAGAACATTCCATGTACCCTTCTCACTCAGCTTCCCCCATGATAATAACTTACATAATTATCGTACGTTGTCCAAACCAGGAAACTGATGTTGGTACAATATCATTAACTCTAGATCCACTTTCTAACTCAAATTGTAAATAATGAAAAATGCATTTATGGGCATGGAAAATACAATAAAGATAAAGTGAACCTCCAATGAACAAATCTATGGCCATATAATCAAAAGATTATTCATATGCCAAAAAGTTATAAAAATTAAAAGCCGTATAAGTGATGGACAAGTCTATGTTGAAAAAAGGCATGACATCCATTTATTCAGCACTATCAGGGAGAAATTTTAGAGTAGTCCACCTGATGTGTGACATTGAAGGAAGATAACAACAAATGAATTAATGGAAATTATGTGTCAGAAAGTGGAATCATGGATGATATAGAAATTATCCCATCATGACAGAAACAAATGAATCTAAACATGAAGAAGAAGGAGAAGGGTAAGATGTATTGGATCAAGGCTGCAGCCAAAAATTGTTAATATAGTAAATAAAAATACACAAGAATTAGTTTTTGCATTGAAAAATCTGAGTTAATGTTGTCATAACTTGAAAAATTATTGGACCATAATACAAAAATTAGTTTTCCTCTTCTAAATAATGCAATATTATTTATTTTATTAAATGTATGTACACTTATATGTTTATCTAAAAAATGGTATGTGTATGTCACTTTTATAGTCTCTTTTTTTTTATTACAACTACAAGATCCAATTGCATTGAATAACAGGGGGCCTACCGTCTGTAATATTGTATTGGAGACCTTTCTCTGCAAGGGCTGGGGAAAAATAAAAGAGAAAGAACAAAGCATATTGTCTCAAAACTCCCCAGAAGGAACTTTGCTTATAACATGGGTCAGGAAAAGGCAAGATCGTCCACTTTAGACTTATGTGTATCAATTAATGGTGACCTAGACAGATTCCTTTCATAGAACTCAATGAAATGTCTTAGTTAGAAAAGGCCGTTTGAAAGAGAAAAAAGGATTAGTGTGGGGAAGTTGGGATTTGACTGTGAACAGGGCAATACATCAAAGAACAATAGCTTCGAGTCTTAGAAAAACAAGATGGCTCCCACAGGTCTCATCTATGAAACAGGCAAGGAGCTCAGATGGGGAGAGTACAGCAGCATCCTTGACATTATCCACGATAATCTGATTATCTTGACACAAAGAACTCTTCACTGCTTTTACTGGAAATAGTTCTTTGGAAATTATTCTTTGGAAATAGGACTGTTATTTTCCCACTTAAATTTCACTAAAGTTCCTTTTGAAATATTAGCCCATACAATCCGTGCTAAGAAGCAATGAGCCAAAAAAGAAAAAACAGTTTTTGTTCGAAAGGTGGTGTTATGAGTTGAATTGTGTCCCTCAAAAAGATAATGTTGAAGTCCTAACCTGCACTACCTATGAAAGTGACCTTATTTGGAAATAGAATCTGTGCAGATATAGTTAAGATGAAGTTCTTAAGGTGGGCACTAATTCAGTATGACTAGCATCCTAATAAGAAGAGGAAAACGGAAAACTATATGAAAACAGAGTCACGCTCAAAAACGGTTATCTGAAAACAGAGGCAGAGAGTAGAGTGATGTTGTCACAAGCCAAAGAATGCCTGGAGCTACCAGAAACTGGAAGAAGCAAGTAAGAATCTTCCCTTAGAGGCTTCAGAGGGAACACGGCTCTACCAACACCTTGATTTCAGACTTCCAGACTCCAGATCTATGAAACAGTAAATTTTTGTCATCACCCAGTCTGTGGCAGTAGTAGAACAGACCCAAGAAATTGATACAAGTAGTCTAGGCACAATGGCCACATAAGCATCAGGGTTGCCAATTCTGGGGGTCATCAAGGAGAAAAACAAGAAGCTTCCTTTAAGAGCTCTTCCTTCTTCATTCTTTGGGAAAATCATACTTCTTGTTTGATTTAAGAGAACTACTTCCTCATGTAAGTTTAGACCATTTAATTTCCACAGGTAACATGACTATACAATTTTATTTACCATAGATGATTCTGGTTTATGTCTGATTCAGTGTAATCAGTAGTGCCACCTTTTACTTCCAAAAGTATCCCAGTTTGAACAATAAATTTCGTATTCATCTACTTGTAAGTCTAAGATGTTAAGATTTTAGTAATCTCGTAAGCTTAATCGAGTTTACCATTATTCAGTATTTGCTATCTTCTCTCTGCTTTACAAAAAAAGGGGAAATGGCAACAAAAAAAGATGGCAAATACATTGAAACAATAAAACCTCCACAAGATGATTTAGGTCTAAGTGTCTTCAATTCAGTCTTCAACACATTCTTTCATTTTGTACAAAAACTATACATATTTAGAATAATGACCCTGAGATCATGCAAGATCTTTGGCTATTAAATGAACGCACGTATACTTACACGGAAGAATGCATGTGTGCATACATGAAAAGCAGTCACTAGCATATCGTTCAGGAAAGCTAGCACACTAAACATGCAGAAAAAGGACATAAAACATATATATAGAGATTAAAGACTGTACACGTATGAAGACCACACCTACGTAACTAGAAAACAGGCATACAATGAGCTCTCTAAGGCCACATGCTGTGGCCGTCCCTGATCCAGACCCAATGTCTCTCCCTAGAGGTCATCAGTATCCTAACTTTAGTAATAATTGCCTGGGTTTTATTTGTAGTTTTCTCACCTCTGTATGCTTTTCAGCTCTACAAAATTTAGTTTAGTTTCACCATTTTCTCCTCAGTTTTCAATAAATGGACTATCTTACATCTTTTGCCCAACATTGTTTATGAGGTTTTCACAAGTTGCTGTGTGTAGCTATAGCTCACCTATTGTTATAACTCTATAGAGTAATCCATCATCTGACTGTAGCACACTTCCTTTATTCATTCCACTAGTGGTGCACATTTAGGATTTCTTTTCCAGTTTATGGCTGCTATGAACAATGTGACACTATGAACACTCTTACACATCCAGCCTAGTGCAGCTCTGCATGAGTTTCTCTAGGAGTGGAATTACACACTAATTAAATTAAATTTTATTTTTCCTTTAGTGACTAATGTAACAGTTGCCATTTTTCTGCCATGAAACTCTTTCTGTGTAAACCGTAAGGTCTAAAAGAAAAAAAAAATTGTGATAACAATCAGCAAGAAATAAATTCCTACAATCATGAGCTTAACACTGGCATTGTTTGAACTACAAATAAAACAAACAGTGAAAAGGAAACAATAATTTAAAAAGTAAATAAGCAAACAAACAGAAACCAAAGCCTAGGAGTGTAAAAGAGCTACAGGTTTGTAGACAGAAAACCCAGAGGTGAATCACAGGCATTAATTTGCTGTGCATCCTGAACAAGTCACTGGACCTCTCCAGCTGTGGGTTCCACATCTGTAAAATGGGCACAAAGAATAGTGTTCACTTCAAGGAGCTGTTCTGTGGGTTAAAGCCATAGGACATATGAAGCACATTTGCAGCTGTTGGGTCCTATTAGGTTTAAAGGTGGCCTAATTTTATTTTTGTGATATTAATATTTTTTAATTGACATCATAATTGCATAAATTTATGAGGTATAACGTGGTGTTTTGATATGTCTATACAATGACACAATGAGACATCACCTCACACCTATCAGAATGGCTAATACCAAAAAGATGAATGATAACAAGTGTTGGTGATGACGTGGAGAAAAGGAAACCCTTGTAACACCGTTGGTGGAAATATAAATTAGTACAGCCATTATGGAAAACATGGTGGTGCCTGAGAAAACTGAAACTACAACTACCATATAATTCAGCATTCCACTTCTGGGTACATATCTACAGAGACTGAAATCAGTATGTTGAAGGGATATCTGCACTCCCATGTTCATTGCAGCATTATTCACAATAGCCAAGATATAGGATCAACCTAAATGTCCATCAACAGATGAATGGACAAAGAAAATGTTGTGTATATACACAAAGTTGGCCTTATTTTCCTCACCTACATGAAGGATTGTATTTGGAGCATCATGAGCAATGTCTTTGTTCATTTTGTGTTGCTGTAACAGAATACCAGAAGCTGAGTAATTTATAAAGAAAAGAGGCTTATTCTTCTTGTGGTTCTTCAGGCTGGGAAGTTCAAGAAGCATGGTGCCAGTATCTGCTGGGCTTCTAGTGATGACCTCATGCTGCTTCCACTCATGGCAGAAAGCAGAAGGGCAGTGGGTATGTGCAAAGAACATGACAAGAGAGAAAGAAACTGAGGAAGCCACACTCTCTTTAACAATCTGCTCTCGTGGGAACTAATTCTTCCCAAGAATCAGAACTCACTCACCCCTGCAGGAGGCATTAATCTGTTCATAAGGGATCTGCATCCATGACCCAAACACTTTCCACTAGGCACCACCTCCCACCACTGACACATTGGGGATCAAATTTCAACATGAGTTTTGGCATAGACAAACCACATCCAAACCATTAGCAAGCATTTGTTTTTCAAATTCCAAGAAAATGAAATGAGAAAAAATCTGTAATAAATAAAAATTATGTCAGTCAGTATCAAGAACTTCATGGCAAAAGAAAAACAAAATGGGGAGAAAACTTTGAAAAGGAATCACCAAAAGTGACCAAGAGCCTCCACAACTCCAGCTCATCTACAGCCAAATCAATAATAGTTTCCCAGGATATTTGGACAGGCATTGTCTGCTGGCAAAGTGGCTGTCACAATCATCTGTTGCTGACACTTGTAGCTCAAGAATTTGTGATCTCCCATTTTGTGAAACACAATGCCACAAGTTCATCATAAACATCATTTATTTCTTGCTTTGTAGAAGGAGCGGCAAGCTGTGGAGTTCAGGAGTCAGCTCTGCCTGCAGTGGCCTGAGAGCCTGGGTAAGTCCCTTATTGTCTCTGGGCTTCACGTCACCATCAGCCAAATTCAGATGATGCCTACACAGCCTAAGCCACATGGCTATTGTTAGAATCCAGAGAGATTGTGTGTGTGCATGTGTTGCGGGGGATGGTGTCATGTAAGCCTTTGTAAAGACTCGAAGCCACATATGAGTGTGATTTGGGGTGCATTGTTAGTTTTGTGTGTTTGCAAAATATTCAGCTCCTGGGACTTAGAGTCTCCGAAAGATTCCAGGTGAAACATGAAATGTCCTGTCTCTGTTCTGATGGTGTGGAAAGCATCGCCTGTTAGAATGTCAAGGCCTTTCTTATGATGAAAAAAAATCACTGTAGACTGCATATGAGTAGCTTTATATTGTTGTATTCCTGCACCAAATAACTCTCGGGCTTTTATTAACTGTTCTACTGAGTCCTATTTATCAGAAAGGCAGGTGTATTACCTGATAATACAATAAGCTCTGGTGGATGTATGAGTTGTTCTATTTTTTTATGCCCATAATCAGTTCCCGGAGCATAATAAAACAAGAGGTTTATTTCTCCCACCAACCGCTTGCAGTTTTTTTCTTAGTAGTGAAGCTATAAATTATCAATCTTCAGAAATAACTGTTGCCATTTAATAAGAGATATAAAATATACTCTCATCTAACAAGGGACACAATAGAAAAAAACAAACAAAGTATTCTTTAAGTTTGGTGACATGATGAAAGATGAGGGCAAGCATGTGAGTGTATTAAAGTTAGCAGTGGGCACGACCCTGGGAAGCAGCGAAGAGAGACCTCATTTAGATGTCATAAAGTGGATATTACACATCATTTTTCTAAAATGCAGTTGCAGACATCTTATCTTACCTTCTCCTGAGCTTTGCAATTCCCCAAATTGTCAAAGCCAAGAAAAGGAGCACCTTATCATTTGGATATAGAGGCATAAAAAAGCAAAACCGAGAGCAAACCTGTTTCACGTTGTGGATTCAGAGCCTTGGTGTAACCTCAGAGGCCACCAAATCCTGACCTCCCTCCTGGCAGCCCTGCTGCTCCTCCTCCTGGGCCTCCCTAAATACTCGTCTCCCTGCTCTTATCCCAGGAGTCTCATGCCTGGGACAGGCTGTACCTGCCTTGTTCCCCACAGAACTTGTAGTTATCACAGCCTCTGATTTTGAATATTTGATCTTAAAAATTAATAATCATTTGAGTGTATTCTATTTAATAAATATCAATCATGCATAAGTGTCTGAGATTAATACCGTAAGTCAAAGATTTCTAAATCCTTAAGTGTCTTGCTTTGGAGAAATGAGTGTGGTCTACAAACCTGAGATTTTATTAGAAAGGCAAAATCTCTACTGAGCAAGTAAGAAGCAAGACAGAAAATAATAAGAATTGTATGATTCTACTTATGTGAAATTTCAGAAGAGGTAAGATAAATCTATAGTGACAGAAAACAGATAAGTGATTACCCGGGGCTGGGAGGTCAGCAATGGGGGACTTCATTGATTTTAAAGGGGCATGAGGAAACTTAATAGAGTAATGAAATGTTCTATATCTTGATTGTGGTAGGTTACATATGTGTACACGTTTGTCAAAACTCATCAAACCATTCACTTAAACATAGGGCATTTTTTGTATTTATGTAAGTTATACACCCTGAGAAGTGAAAAAGAAACACACAAACTCCCCCACCTCAGACCTACTGAATCAGAATCTGCATTTTAACCAAATACTCTGGTGAAATGTCTAGTCACTGAAGTTCGAAAATCAAAAGATTAGAGAACTGGTTCTCAAATTGGGTGCACATTAGAATCACCTGAGAAGCTTGAACCATTAATGATGCCTAGGATCCCAAGCCCTGAGATTCTGCTAGACTTGGGATGAGGTGTAGTCTCAGAATTAAGGTTTTTTTAAAGCTAACCAGATTATTTCAAAATGCATCAAAGTATGAGAACCATTCACTTAGAGAAGTAATTCTCGAAAGGGAACAGGGGTTTCAGAACTGCAGCAGCAGCATCTTCTGGGAATTTGTTAGAAATGTAAAATATCAGGCTTCACTCCACATCCACTGGATCAAAAACCCTGGGGGTGTGGTCCAGCAATCTGCCTTCACAAGCCTTCTAGATACTTCTGATATTCACCGGAGGTTGAGTATTACTGGTCTAGATCCAGGAAGGTGTTTTTGCAAATTCCTGGATCTCCAAACCCCCTCCTTCATTCTAAATCAGCATCTCCTGGAGTCTCTGAAAATCGTCTGCATTTGAAAATCACTGCTGTGGGTCTTATGAAAGAGACACTCAGCACATCAGCTTGATAAAGATCTTAACAGTGTAATAACCAAACCACCACCAGTTCTAGATTCCTTTCTAGTCACCAGGTCATTGCTTCTTGGAATAGAGAGAAAGACAAATGGGGCAAGATACTATTTGGATATATTAACCAAGACATTTTTAAACTTTCTATGTTCAGGTATCCCTGTCTCTCTTCGCCTTGTTGGGGTACCTCAGCAAGTGGACAATGCCAAAAAAAAAAAATGGAAGAAGGAAAAGGAAGCTGTTTCTTTAGAAACTCAAAAGCCAAGACTTCAAATGCAAATAAACAGAACTCAGAGCATAGATTTTAGATTTTCAATTAAAATACGTGATGAGAAAAACTTAGAGTTCCAAAGACTAAATCAAGATTCTGCTAGTACAGGAAGAAGAGTCAAAAACAAGGCAATGTATATTTACCCAAATTATGTATATCTGGGAGAGGGAGCTCCATGATCTGTCTTGCCCACTAC
Organism: Homo sapiens; assembly: GCF_000001405.40. Taxonomy (NCBI): domain Eukaryota; kingdom Metazoa; phylum Chordata; class Mammalia; order Primates; family Hominidae; genus Homo; species Homo sapiens. The sequence goes on along the minus strand of NC_000002.12, from coordinate 114,177,275 downwards.
CTCAGGGCGAGGCTGGAGGCTTGACAGGCAAGTTTAGGGCATCTACAATACAGCGAGTCTTATGCTCCTTCCACCGTGTAAGTTTAGGTAGGTGAGCAAGAAGCCAGAAAGTGATAACTATGTGCTGCGTATGGGCAGGGGAGTAGCAGCTTGAATTCCATGTCCCACTCAAGGACAATAGCTCAACTTGAGAGGTCATATAGAAGAGTATGATAGGAGAGGCAGCAACAACCTATGTAAATTGACAACTCTAGACTAAACAAACAGTGGACCTCTCAGAGGATGACAGGGTAGGAAAATGCCAAGAGGAACCCTATTATCTCCTCTAGACCCTCAATGCAGGGACATCCTCAAGTTGATAGAGATTAAGTCTCCAACATTTGGTAGAACAGAGGCTTATAATGTAAGCTGTGGCATTACAGAAAAATTCAGAAACTTCTAGAAAACATCACTTGAGTTGAGCACACAAGACTTATTCCTCTTTTCTAATGAATGACCTTGCCTTTAAGGAAAGTTTGTTTGTTTGATTGTGAATAGAAGATAACATTTGAAAAATCAATAACAATAAAATTTTGAAAATAAAATCAAGGGAATGATGGAAGAGATATCACCAGGTGTTAGAAAATTGTCAAATTAGTGGCACAGTAATTTGTGGAGGCTGAAAGGGTTTGTGAACTCTAAAGCAAAAGAGGAATAATGGCTACCATTCCAGGTAGAAAAGAATTGTACAGTAGTCCAAGAAAGAAAAGTACTGGGAACTAGGAAGTACAACACCCGGAAGAGGGGCCTGAAATACTGTTCTTCAGAGAAAGTCTAAATCAAACAGTTGCAATAATGAGCAGATTTAAATTGAGATCCAATTATATGTTGAGCTCCTATAAGTACTGAGCGTATTTATGGCTTTTGGTCATGTGGAAGGACTTTACTTAATACAGTTTGAAAAACTGATTGAAATCTACTCAAGGATATAGAGTAGTGACCATCTGATGCCGTTTGCAAAGGGGTATATTGTGTCTTTTCAGTTAGACTGTGCACTCCTCAGGAATAGTGACCATGTCTTCAATTTATCTTCTAGCTGCATTATTTCCTCCGAGAATGCTGGGCTATGGCAGGTGAGCTTTGTCTGTGATCCAGTTGGATCTGCCTTACTTTAATAAGTCTGGAATGACATTTTCTTGCCCTTTACTAACAGATATTAAGCACATACTCTGGGTCAAGTACTGTGCAAGGTGTTTGACCACAGCCAGCATTTTTGAATACATACCCTGCAATAAGCTCTGTGCTGGGCTTCTAGAAGCTTTATGTGTCACTGACCCCTCATGTTTGTAGAGTATAAAACCAGTTTTCCAAGACAGAATCCTGTGATTTATCTTATCTTTCTCCTTCTACCTTACTAGCCACTTAAAATTAGCCATCAAATCCTGTCAATTCTGCTTCCTAAATATCTATGCTTTGCATCATTGCTGTTTAAGTTTTTGCCATCTCTTGTGTGAACATTTGCCGTGGTCTTCTAGCCAATGAGGCTTCCTTTGGCTGCCCTTCCATCAGAGTGATCTTTAAAAATGCTGATCTAATCATATCATTCCATAACTTAATATATCCTCATCATTTTCCATCATCACAGAATAAAAGTCAAACTGCTTAGCCTGATACTCAAGGTATTTCAAGTTCCATAAGCTTACTGAAAACAGTAAGTATAACCACATTATTTACTGATGCTGTCCCTGGAACATAGTAGGTGTTCAATTAATATTTGGTCAATGGTGGTTTTTTGGTTGGTTGGTTTTGGGTTTTTTTTGTTTTGTTTTTTTGTTTGTTTTGTTTTTTGGTGTTGTTTGAGATGGAGTCTCGCTCTGTTGCCAGGCTGGAGTGCAGTGGCACCATCTCGGCTCACTGCAACCTCTGCCTCCTGGGTTCAAGTGATTCTACCGCCTCAGCCTCCTGAGTAGCTGGGACCACAGGTGCACACCACCACGCCCAGCTAATTTTTGTATTTTTAGTAGAGATGGAGTTTCACCATGTTGGCCAGGATGGTCTTGATCTCTTGACCTTGTGGTCTACCTGCCTCAGCCTCCGAAAGTGTTGGGATTACAGGCGTGAGCCACTGCACTCAGCCAATAGTGTTATTTTTGAGCCTGCCCCTGCCAACTTTAAAACTCCCTCCTGTCTGCCCTTGAATCTCTTAGTTTACATTCTGACTGCAAAGAACCCCTTGAAGTTCCAAAACAACCCACTTCAGAGCCTTTGCACAATCATTCCCTCTGCCTAGAATGCTCATCCTTCCAAAGAAACATTAAACTGAGGTCACTGAGAGTTAATGTAGACATTGAACCCTTATCACCTGGTTTCCAAAGAGGATTGGCTTTGCTTTAACATGCTTAGGGAAAGTTGGCCACTTTCTTCACCTGTTGCTTAGCCCTCCAGCTCGCTTTCCAATCAGAGGCATGGGTGTCCCTCATCAGCCACCTTGGCGTCCCATGCCACCACGTCAGCCACCTTGGCGTTCCATGTCGAGTGGTAGAGAACGTTATGATTCCCCTTTTTGAGGTGGGAAGACCCCCTTCCACATCTGGTGAATGTGAGTTAACAGTTTAAGAATGTGGGCCAGGCACGGTGGCTCACGCCAGTAATCCCAGCACTTTGGGAGGCCAAAGTGGGAGGATCACCTGAGGTCAGGAGTTCGAGACCAGCCTGGCCAACATGGTGAAACCCCATCTCTACTAAAAATACAAAAAATTAGCTGGGCGTGGTGGTGTACACCTGTAGTCCCAGCTACTCGGGAGGCTAAGGCAGGAGAATCACTTGAACTCGGGAGGTGGAGGTTGTAGTGAGCCAAGATCCCGCTGCTGCACTCTAGCCTGGGAGACAGAGTGAAATTTCATCTCAAAAAATAAAAATAAATTAAAATAAATTTTTAAAAAAGAATGTGAAAGCAATTTTGCAAAATGCCAAGCTCTCAGCACCCATGGGAAGTTGGGTCAGAAGGTAAGTTTAGAAAGGCAACTTTCCACTTTCAGTTGGAAAATTTTAATGAAAATGGAAGTATACTTTGGTAGTAAGATCTTCAGGCATAACCAAAATGATGGTGTATTTATAAAAAGTGTCATAAGAAAAATATGTCTTCTTCCTTATCTATATGTGTGTATGTGTTAGAGCAATGTATTTCCTAGTTGTACTCGAAATAAATGAATGGAATCATAAGGATATGATAATTACTTACATTGATTGAGCATTTACTATGTACCAGAAACTGCCTGAAGGGCTTTTCATATTTACACTACTTAACCCTCAGGACAGCCTTAAGTAAAATGATTGTCATACTCATTTTACAGAGCAGTTAAGAAACTTGTCCAAGGTCACACAGCTAGCAAAGGGCAGCGTCAGGATTTGAACCCAGTTCATCTGGCTCCAGGGCCTCAAACACATCATGTAACCTCCCACAGGCCATACATGTGGGAGAGGCTTCTTTAATTTGTTATCTTCACTTTAGTCATGTTATGCTCATAACAAGTTAAAAGCTGCTTCTATTGTTCAAACATCAGGCATGATTTCACCACTGTAAATTTCTAATTCACTTACCCATAGAAAAATCAGAATTTTAATGAAAATGATTCCCATTCAGTATAATACGGCATATTACTAATCATGACACATCACCAACATGGCATTCTTTAGTTGAATGGTTTGCCCAGAGTAGTACAAAGTATTTCACTTATACCTGCATTTGAGGATGATTTATAAAATATACAACTGACAGCCCTGGGCACTGACTGGTCAGAACGGCCATCCTGGAGCGTATCTTCCAGATGCCATCCAGCCTTGAAAGGTTGTATCAACACTCAAACTTCATATACATGTCCTTGAAACCCAATGTGGAGTGGCACACAATTATCTGATTAGAATGGAGCCCTTCTGAAGGTAAACATATTAAAACTTGTTTTTGTGTTTGGCCATAACAGAAAAAGTTTCTGGGTTACTGGAAGCTTTTTCAAATAGATGTATAAATAAATAGAATCATTTGAGCATAAAGTGTAAGCACAAGGAATATATGTATGCCATCTCACCCTCACCAAGCCCTCACAACCCATCCTCAAACAAGTCAGTCCCTATGGGCAGCGCTGTCCTCAAAAAATAAAACAGACCGTAAATCTGGTCACTGTTTTTTGGTTACAGTGAAGTCATGAATGGTGAAAGAAAGCTCTGAGTAGCAAACCTTCTGATGCCTGTTATTCTCTTCCACCTCTCGCCCCACACACCTTCTGTCCCAGCCATGTTGTTCTCAGAGCATACCTTGATGTCCACCATTTGTTCATTCATTCTTCATTCATTCATTCAGTATTTTCTATAGGCCAGTAGGTTTTTTTTTTTTTCCAATTCTATCTATCTAAAAGCCTTCCATTCTTCAAGATATTTTTAAAATATAAACGTTTCCAAGAATACCTTCATGATTAGCTGTCAGAAATGCTCTCCCCCTCATTGGAGCATGTTTTCTCTTAAGTCACTTATTTCCCATTTCCTTGTATCATAATCTTTTGTGAAATGAATGAGAAATCCACCCAGAGCATAAGCACCGAGGGTCAAAGAAAACATTGTTTATGGCTTTTTATCCCAAAGAATGGCCTTACTCATTATATTTTGAAAGACTGAATTCTCCCTAAGTGAGTGGTATATTAATAAGAGTTCTCCAGAGAAACAGAACCAATAGAAAACACAATACATAAACATGTATACACACATACATACACACACTATATATAAAAGTATATATACACATACATGCATACACACATACATGCATACACACATATACATATATAAGTCTTATATATATATACATGATTTATTATGAGAAATTGGCATATGCAATTATGAAGGCTGATAAATCCACGATCTGCCATATGCAGGCAGGAGATCCAGGGAAGCTGGTGGTATAATTCCGTCCAAGTCCAAAAGCCAAAGAACCAAGGCAACCAAATGACGCAAATCCCAGCTCGTAGACGGGACAAAATACAATATGTCCCAGCTCAAACAGGGAGGCAGAAAAAAAGGACTGAGCTCCTCCTTCCTCAACCCTTTGTTCTATTCAGGTCCTCAATGGATTGGACGGTGTCCACTCACATTAAGAAGGACCATCTACTTTACTGAGTCCACCAATTCAAATGCTAATCTCATCCTGAAACACCCTCCCAGACAGACTCAGCAACAACATTTAGTCTGGCATCTCACGACCAGCCAAGCTGACACTTAAAATTAACCATCATCGGTAGTAACTACCAATCCTAACGACACTTGCAAAAGGGAATATCCTGTGTCCCCAGATAGACTGAGTGCTCTTCAAGAATAGTGACCATGTTTTCAGTTTGTCTTCTGGTCCCCATTAACACACACACACACACACACACACACACACACACGCATACACATAAATGCCTGGTCTAGGGCTTTACAAAAAAAGCTGAAACATGACACTTAACTGGCCATGAAAAATAAACAAGAAATCTATTTCATGCTATTTCATGACTTTGTCACAAGAGAAAAAAATTGCCTTCAGAGATCATATATGTTGAGGAACACTGAAAAAGCACACAACTCTTCTGTGATGTTAATTTTTGATTTTTTTTTATGCTTTAAGTTCCAGGACACATGTGCAGAAGTGCAGGTTTGTTACACAGGTACACGTGTGCCATGGTGGATTGCTACAAATTCTTAAAGCTTCAGATGTCACGTTTCTGTAATATCAACCATTGCAGAATGTAGCATTGGTGATTTTTTGGAAAACTATAAAAATGTTCCACCATCTGCCATGAATACAAAAAGTGATGAGTGATTTCCAATTTCTTAGGAGCCTGGGTAAAAATAATGAAATGGGAAAGAATCAGAAAATTCACAATTGGAAAACATCTTGGATTCGGTATCACTGAAAAGAAGGTTACAGAAAAGGATCAATTCTGGTAGACTACAGCCAACCAAATATCAGGGCTCTTGTCATTCCAAAAGTTTCATCGACACTTGTAGACTTTGAAAAATGTACTTCAGATAGTGCTACAAAGACTGTACTATATTGGCTGATTTTTATCTTTATTCTTCAGGGAAATAAAAGAATAAGAACCACAGAATAAAAATGCCAATTAAAACAATTAACCAAGCAATTTGGGGGTGGAGGCATGGAAAGAAACCCTGGGCTGGAACTCAGAGGGTCTGTACTCAAATCCCTTTGCATTCACTCAGCTATACACCTTTGGGCAAAGCCCTTAACCTCATTGAATCTCAGTCTTTTCATCTATAAAACAGGAATATTAACAATATCCTATTTTCTCTACAGTTTACTTTTATGATCAAATAAAATACTTTTTGAGAAATCACAGTGCAAACTATAAACTGTAAAAATGCAATATATTAGAATTAGAAATAGGTGAAGACAGATAATGAGTATTGTCATCATATTCTTCAAACAAAAGAAAGTATCCTATTTGTTCTAAGGGATTTTCAATCTTTTGAATGTATATAAAAGGTCTTCAGTCACATTAATTTAAACAATCACATTTGGTTTCACAATAAATTACATAATTTAATAAAATGAAACTTAGTTGAAGCCAGAGCTGTTCTGGGAAATCATGAACATAGGTAGGTTGTAGACATAGGGATGAGAGAATCAGGAAAGAGAAGACTTAGGGTGGGTGGGGGCATCCTAGTACTACTGTCTTTAGATATTTGTCAATAGGTGCCACTCAAGCCCCATTTCTTCCACGAAGATTTGCCAAGCTGCCCGCAGTTCCAACCACATCAGTCTTCCCCTCTGAACTCCTACAGCATACACACCATATAACTGAAACTCTGATTACATGTGCTCTTCTTTGATATTGCTTAATTGTGCCTCCCCAAAATACACTGTCCTATCCTTCCGAGTCAGGACCATGGCTTATCCTTCACCATGACTCACAACACCCAGCAGAGGGCTGGAAACAGAGTCCATACTCAGTAGGTGCTTGCTGATTCATATACCATTTTATACCAAGCTGTTACTATATTCCCCTAACAATCTAGCTCTGAGTCACCACTGAGACCCAATCAAGAGGAAAAAAGGCTGGATTTGTGGAAGGATCAAACTAATACTGATTGTGTAATCTGCTCCTGATCATGAAATCTGCTTCCTCCCTGTTACCTCTTCCTTGGAAGTCTTTAACAATTAACCAGGCATTAATCCATTCATAATTCTCAGAGCACAATCTCACCAGGAGACCCAAGGCAGCACAGAGCATGGGAAAGGCAGGGCTGGTGACTAGAGAACCAACTCCTCATCTCTATCACTACTAGCCGTGGGCAAATGGGACTCACCTCTCCCAGATCTTGGAGTCCCACCTTTAAAATAAAGTGGTTGAATCAGATGGTTTCCAAGACCCTCTTACAATTCTAAGCTCCATAAAAGTAGAGCATTGAAAGAGGTAGTTTACTGGATTCCCATTGGTGCTTCAGTAAATACACTGGGATTATCGAGACAATTGGATTCTGGTAAATGTTGGCAGATCTTGATGAAACTCAAAAAAGAGATTTTAGTTCCAAGGGTGACTGCTTTTTCTTTCCGAAAGCATGACTGTGACTGGGAATCAGGCACTCAGAAGCACAGATGAATGCACTGTTCCCTCATTACAGAAGGAGAAAACAGAGCCATGGATGCTTGAAAATTTTACACACATAGTAATAGGCTTCATGAAAAACAAAAATTAAATCAAATCGCTTTTCAAAAAGAAATTCACCTTTATGAACAAATACAGCCTGAGGCATTCTCTGAGTTCAGGGAAGGGCAGAATTGAGGTTGCATTTCCAAAATCCCCCAGCAATGCATAAATGAGTTAGGCTATAAATGAACACTAGATTTGCTTCAACCCTAAGAGCTTCTATAAAGCATAAAAGCTTTTAACTCCCTGTGAATAATACTTTCCCATAAAAAATCTGTCTTCCTGAGCTCTATTTCTGTAATTTCTGTATCTGTAATTTGGAAGCCTTGTTGTTATTTTAAGATACAGTGAAAAGGATTTTCAAAGAAATCATTCTCACAAGCACATTTACGTGCCGAGATAGTTAACTACTGTCATGTTTTCTCAGCAAAAACTTCTCGGATTATCCACTTGTAAATCACAGATTCAATTTAATTCCTGCCTATCACTCCTCCCTTCTACTATCCTATCCCTTCCCATCCTTCTAGGCTCAGATCTCCAAAGCATTCCCTATTTAATCCAAGCCACACTGACCACCTGTTCCCCAGCTCATTCAGACTTAGGCTGTACCAGGTAATTTAGCACTCAGCTGTTTGCTTGAAACTCAATCTGTAATAATTTCATAAAATGTAATAGAAATTGCTTCAAATAGACTATAATTTCTTAGAGACTTTAAAAACAGAATTTAGTATATATGAATCATGGAAGATGCTTAACATAATAATATATTTGGAAGAAAAGAAAGACGGAAAGAGTCAAGAAAAGAGATAACCAACCTATTGAACAATACCTGGTGAGACATCTTGACAGGAATGCACAAAGAAAGATATTCTTTTGATAAAATAATAGCTGGACCCTGCAAAGAGGTAGTATGATGTAGCATTTAAGCATATGGGCTCCAGAGTCCAAATCCCTAGATGTGAGTCCTGGCTCCACCATTTCCTGTGTTAGCTGCTTTGTGCCTCAGTTTCTCTAAAATCTATGAAATAGGGAGAAATAGCTGTACCTACTTCACGGGGTGTTGTCAAGGTTAACTAAGCTAATACATGGCAAATGCTTAGTTAGCACATGCCTATTATATAGGGAACATCCCATAAATGCTTTTGTCATCACCATTTTGGTTTGGATTAATAGAAATCCTCCCAGTGACGAGAAACTCAAATTCCATTGTTTTTGCTGTAAACAGACCAATTAACTGACAAATAAGAAACAAAATGGAAACAGATTAGTGCTATAGCTAAGGAGAAAGAAAAGAAGATAAAATGAATGGGTTTTTAGGTTGAAAAGAGAACTGCTTAAAGAATGGGCTTGATGTATTAGAATGAGAACCATAGAGTTAAGATTTCTGGGAGTAGGAAAACAAGAGCTTGATAAACAAGCTTAGTGTACAAGGACTGTGTGACAGTGAAGGGCCTTAGGGATTCGTCATACTTGACCTGGACTGAGCTAAAAAGAGAAGCCAACTATCTCTTTCTTTTAAGCAAAACAGGGCTATGCTCTGTATCTGCATTGACAAACTGCATCAAAGATGCATCAGTCAGGACAAGCTAGGTTTTGTCATAGTAACAAACATCCCCCCAAATCTCAATGACCTTAAAGAACAAAGGTTTCTATCTATCTCTCTCCTACTACATGTCTGCACTAGTTAGCAGGGGACGGGGACTCTGCTGATCATAATCACTCAAGGACTCAGGCTGCCAGAAGCTCCCACACCATCTGAACCTTCATCTCAAAGCAATGCTTCAAGGCTTTCCAGAGCAGAGAAAGAAAGAATGGAGACTTGTACGCCATCACCTAAATGCTTCTGTAAGGAAGTAGCACATTGTTTCCAGCCACATTTTATTGGTCTGTGCAAGTCCCAGGCCCATGCCTAATCTCAAGGAGTTAGGTACTCAGGAGGAAAGAAGTAGAAATTTGGATAAATACTAGCAATGTCTAGTACTCACAATGTATGTACCACAAATTCCTCACACTCTAGTACAGAGCTTTGAATAGCTGAGTGATAATAATAACAACAACAACAGACACATTTATTGAACACCAGTACATGCCAGACACAGATTCCTTGATGCTCAATAAGTGGCATCAATCATCATTGTTGTCATCATTATTATTTTAATTCTAAGTACAACCTGCAAGGTATTATTATCTCAACTCCATAGGTTTAAAAAAAACTGAGACTCAGAGATTAGGAAATTTACCCAAGTCCATATAGACTGCAAGATACGGATCCCCCCTCTATGTTTCCATCGGAGCATCATGTCTTCTCTAAAAACTGTCAGCATAATCCCAGCCTATCTTCTCAGAGATTATTCCCACTATCTTTTTGTTGCAACCCACAATTTAACCGAGCTACTCTTATTTGTCACAATGCCCCATTTTTATGCTTCTGCTCACATAACTCCCTGTACTTGGAAATATCTCTTTCTTATTTACATATATCTAAATTGTACCACTTTTTCAAAATGTGCTCAAAAATCACTTCTTCAATTGGACTTTTCCTCATCTCCCCCACATATTTTTTTCCTTCTCCTGAATTCCCATAATTTCTTATGTCTGCCTTTCTCAGTTTGTATTTATATCTTACTTGTCCTAGCTCACTATGAGCACCATGAAGACAAGACTTGCATCTGCATCCCTCTGTGTGTGAACCTTACTGCACAAACTCCAGTGTACAGGATATGCCATAGAACATTATTTTCTTGAAATTACAGTAAGTCTGGTTCTAACATCCCACCCGACCTTCATGACTGTTCTGGTAGGAAATTCAGTTGTGGTCATTATTCATACTCTTCTCCCCTAGATCCCTATGAATGTCCCAGACATGAGGAAAACATTTCTGGAAGGCCTCTGGTTTGGGTTCCCAAGAGTTAATGCTGATATGTACATAATGCCTTAAAGTACAGCTCCATCCAGGGCAGGTGTCTGGGGGTCCTAAACCTGTCCTTACAAGAGATGGACGAAACAGCCATCCCCTTTCTCCAACCCCCTCGTCATCCAAACTCTTGTCTTCTCTCCAGGTGCTGAGAGGGAGGTGGTCTGTGGCCATACAGACCTCCCTAGTTCTTGGTGAAATCTCTCCCAGTCTGCCTCACCTCCCCTACCTACAACATACATCTCTTTCTCCTGCTTTCAGAATGCAAAACCCAAGGAAAAATATTCTAAAGGCAACTTCCACTGTCTACTCTGTTCTTAAGGCATAGGAGGTCAAAATACTATCTACCTTCTTCGAATGCGAAGAGAAAAATACACAAAAACAAAATTTCCGTAAGTTATCTAATTGCACAAGCTTACAGACCTCTGAGTGACCATATGCATGAAGATGACTTTTGCCACTTGATTAAAGTCCTGGATGATGAGAATATGATTCAGGAAACATAACAAGACGATTCAATAAAATGAGCCAGTTAGGAGAGCTGGTAATACATTTCCTGATGGATCTGCCAATGTTATCATGTAACAACACTGCTGATGGGCTTCAGTCATTATAGTCCTGAGTAAGTAAAAAGAGATCTTAAATGGTAGAATCCTATTTAATGGGGCTCAATCAATAAAGTGGGTTTTGAAGGGTTGCTTAAAAATACGACTGAAATAAATAAATGCTGAGTGTCCTTCAATAAAATCCATGTTGACTTGTTTTGCTTGAAATAAAACTTTGGCATATAAGCTGAAATATATCACCTACTTGCCACTAACTCTGCATTTCTAAGGATGTCCCATTTTGATATTTTCTTGGCCTGGAGTTCATGGACTTAAAGAGATCTTTAAAACAACTGGAACTTTCTGTAAAGTTATGTCTGCTGCTGCATGTGTATACATGTCTAAGGAAGAGAACCATGGATTCCATCAGATGGATGCAGGAGGCTATGATCCATAAAAGACAGTGTCCAACACATACACATATTCTAAACCTCCTTGTCATTTTTCTTCTATTTTCTAAATAAGTAAAAACAAAGAAAGAAAGAAAAAAAAATCAGAAAATTACCAAGGAGCCATAAAGTTGACACATGACTGAAGCATTCCATTTAGGATCCACCTACCATAACACTGGGGGCTTATTTTGCAGCCTTAGTCCAAGTAAGAATTCCATATCACTGGGGTCATGATATGTAAGGACGTGTAGAACAGAATTCGAAAGAAGAGTTGTGGCAGTGTGAGAGAGGGTGGTATAGAGAAGCCTTGAGCTCAAATGGATAATAAGAAAACCTCTGCAAGTTAAGGTCACTTCACTCCTGTAAATAGGAAATTCTTGGGGACATACAAGAAATGAAGGGCCACTAACTACTAGCAAGTTCACTCCATGGTTGACAGAGTAATCTCCAACATCAGAAACAAAATTGAGCTGATGCGGAAAGGTTGACAAAATGTTTATACCTCATCAAAGAAAGAAAGCTGAAAGCTGGTGATTAAAATGGAACCTCTGTTCCTACTAAAGAAACCATTCCTCCCTCCACAGAAGTGATGAAAAATGGAGCAAGCCCCAGGCCAGAGCCAGCTGACCCCCACTGTTTGCTTTCAGGAGGGCACATAACTTTGGGGTCCAGGTCTCTACAATCCCTGGAGCAGTGAGTCTCAGTTAATTTTCTGCAGGGACACACATAATGAGGAATGTTAAAGTGTAACTTTCTTGAAGGCAGACATAATAAGCGGGACTGATACACTATCTCAGTGAATCCTCATCATAACCTATGAGATATCATTATCATGCCATCTTACAGATGAGAAAGCTGCAGCAGAGATGGCAACTAATTTGTTCAATGCCAAATAGTGGGAACGGAATTTGAACTCAGGCAGTCTTCTCCAACTGTCTTGTTCTGTGCTACATCCCCAACACCAAGTTCAGTGATTTTTGAATAGTTGTTCTTTAAATATTTGTCACAGGAATGAGTGAGGCTCGTAGGTGGTTTTGCTGGCTATATTAGTCAGGGTTCTATGGGTTAAACAGAAGCAATAGATTATAAATAGATATATACGAGGAGGTTTAGTGTGGAAGTTGGCACACACAATTATGGAGGCTAAGAAGTCCCATAATATGCCTTCTGCAAGCTGGAAACCCAGGAAAGCTGGGATATAGTTCAATTGAAGGCCAAAGATCTAAGAACCAGGTGGGAGCTGAAAGCCAAAGAACCAGGACCTCCAAGGACAGGAGAAGATGGATGTTCCAGCTCAAGAAGAAAGAGAATTCACCCTGCCTCTACCTTTGTGCTTTATTCAGGCCCTCAAAGGATAATGCCACACTGCTAAGGGCCTTAGATCATTTCACTCACTCTACTGATTAAAATGCTAACTAATCTCTTCCAGAAAACACCCTCTCAGAAACACCCAGAAATAATGTTTTTCCAGCTATCTGGGCTTCCCTTAGCCCAGTCAAGTTGACACGAAATTACCCACCACATTGGCACACTAGTTTTAACTCCACCCATTTTCCTTCTACCCGAGGAGGCATATCAGCATGTACAAGGGAGATTACTGTAAGGAAAAACTTGAGTTTGCGTACACAAATTTAAATGTGTTCTTAAACTTGGATCTTCTCATATTCTACCTATTATTAGCAACCAACACATTATAACACCATAGGTGAAAGAATGGCAGCTAGTTGTCCTATGTAATGTCTCTGCAGAACTGGCTACTAGAGAAGGATGCAGCAAACAGTGAGCAACAGAATGTGCGGGTTTGCCACCAATGTCCCCCCTTCTCTCCCCCATAGTCACAGTCTGTAGCTTGGGACCATGGCTTTCTACACAGGCTCTTCATTTCTAGGTGTCCCTTGCACCACGGAGCACGTAACTAACAGCCAAATAACTAACATCCAGAATCAGAAACTGCATTTAACAGGTTCCACAAATGATAGATCTGCAGCTAAATTTTGAGGAGCATTGAACTAGGGGATGTCACAGAAACCAGATGAAAAGAAGCTTCTGGACTCCTCAGAATGATCTCTGGAACAGAGCTGCCCAGCATCCTGGCACATTCACCCAGGACTGTTCCAAGATACAGTAGACAACTTCTATGGTTTTTTAAGCCACTGAATTATTATTGAATCTCTTTATGAGAACAGTTTCATCTTACCCTGACTAATACAATGAGGGAATAGTCTTGATGAGTTTCTCCTCTAAAGACGATCAGTGAAAAACTTTGAGGAAAGTATAAGGAAAAGTGCCAATGGCACGTCAGTCTTTCACCTCTGACAGTGTATTTGAAAAATATTATTATAAATGTGTTTTTTTAATTGTATAACCCAATGTCAGGCAGGGTCCCATACCCCTTTCAGACCTGGTTGCAATTGACCCAAACCTCAATTCCAAGACTTAATGGAAGCCCAGGCCTTCTTTTTAGCTTTAGCAAATGCCTAGAATTTCCTCTCGCCGTTTCCCTCAGCCTCTGAGATTTTGTATTGCCACACACTGCATTAGTTTTCACCCATATCAATCTAGCTGTGAACTCCAACTCCTTTCCTGATTACCAACAACAATCCGCCCTTCCCCGTGGATCCCATAGATTTAGAAAAATTAAATATTTGGGTATCACACAGACAGGTCCCACATGACCTTTGTCGTGACTCTGCATATTCTCTACTTCTTCCCCACTTCCTCTTATACCTTTCCCTAGTGTAACACATAACAGTGTCAATCAAAGAGGAAAAGATGGAGGGGAAGGAATAAAATATCAGAATATTAGAAAAGAGAAATGCCCTAGCCTAAGGTTTAGGTTTCAGAATGACCCTGTCATTACCAGGCAGCAAAGGCATTTCTGCTGCTTTCCTGTATTCTGAAGGCTTTAGTCTCAGACTCCCTTCCTTTATTGGTAGTTTTTGGCCACACCTTATATCTAAGGAGCTGTGGCACGCCATCACTAACACCTTACCCTAAATGAATGCATTTATACCAGCATTTGACACCATTTATTATGCATTTACTACATGCCAAGCATTTTGCTAGGCTCAGAGGATTCAGGGGTCAGAAGACAAGAACTCTAACCTCAAAGAGCTTACGTTCTATTGGGAAAACAGCTCCAGATTGATGATCATAAAACACCATGGTTACAGCTCAGATTGAAATCTGCACCAGTGCAGAGTGAGTGGAGAGAGTCTCCTCCGAAGGCTGTCACCCAGGCTGATACCTGGGGCAGGCGAGGGCGATCAGGAGAGCATTCCAAAGGCTACAACAACAGGTGTACAAGGCTAACAACACGGTCTCCTCAGGACCTCTGAATATTATTCCAGTGTGTATGGTAGGGGGAATAAGTGAATGGTGGAGGAAAAAGGGTGATAGACGAAGCTGAGCAGGTGGGCAGGGCCAGTTTACTAAAGGTGTTTACACCTTACAAAAGACTGAACTTGATCTACATTCTTACCCTTTTTCCTGCCATGGACCCCTTTGGAAGTCTGATGAAGCCTATGGACCTCTTTTCAGAAAAATGTTTTTATACATATATAACATACAATTACAAAGAAACCCAGTTGTGTTGCCATACAATTCTACCCAGGTGAAGGCCGCAGATGAAGAATACCTGAAGGTGATGAAGGGCCACGATGCAAGGAGGTGCTGCTCGGATCAGATGTGCATCTCAGAAAGAGCACTCAGAAACTGAGTAAGGGGCTGGGAAAGAGATGAGACTAAAGTTGAAGGCAAGTCTGGCAGCTCTTAGAGGAGCCCAGGTGACAAAGTCTGTCATTATTATTATTTTTTAACATTTATGTAGGTCTTCTAAAGCAGTAGTTCTTGCCTCTAGAAAGCCCAGCACCGTCTTTAATATTAAATCCTTTATAAAACTTCTTTTATTATCTCAAGGCAAAATTTAATGATAACATAACCTACCTACATACCTTTCTTACACCTTTAGGAAAAAATTAATTGAAAAAGTAACTTTGAGTAAGATCATATGTGTTTCAAAATGCCATTGCTCAAGCACAACTACAGTAGAGGATATAATGAAGCCATCAGCACCTCTACCCAGAGTCACCGTGCTGGTGACAGTTCCAAGTGCTGAAGACATAAACGTGCTATGTTAGCAATTTCAATCCTCAAGGGCCATTGCTATGGTGATGCGAGTTGCCCAAAACATTGGACAACTCACATTCCAGAACAAAATATAATACAATCATTTTTTCAATACACACAGCACTTACATTACTGGAAAAGTCAGTGTCGAATAAAACCATGCAAAAATACTTCATATTGGTTAGTGTAATGAAGTTAGGTTCCAAGTTGAGTTTATTGTAACCATATTTTTAATCTATATATACTATTGGTGGAGCCTTTGAAAGATGCACAGAATGGGGATCAATTCATTGGTGTGCAACACAGCTCTCTATATAGCTGGATGTCTAATATTCTTGGCCCTGGTTCATTTTTATTGTGAAGTCCAAAAACATGCCCCAACAAAATTGAAATACTATATAGAAAATACCATTCCTATTGAGAAGCATGAGTGCAAAATAAACAGTCCCTAAAATAGCAAGTAAGCACTGGGCTCGTGTGTGTGTGTGTGTGTGTGTGACACAGAGAGAGAGGGAAAGAGAGAGAAGGAGGGGAGAGAAGAGGGAGAAAGAGGAAGAATGGAATGGGATGTGGAGAACAGCTAGAAGAAACCTATTAATCTTTCTATCAATCTCCAGATTTGGTTAGCACCTGGGGCTTCAAAAAAAAGAAAAGAAAGAAAAGAAAAGACATTTGCTCCATCAGTATCTCCAACTGCACCAAAGGGGGAAATTACCCTTTGACCCCTAAAGCCATTTACTAATGACCTGCAGTATCAGATTGGATGGCTTTTCTCATTAGTGCATGACTACATTGCAAATGTTATTGCCAGGCAGCCGATTATAAAAGCATAAAGAGAAAGTAATTAGCACAATCATTTTACATAGAGTAAATTTTAGTGCAGCCAGTTTGTCAGAGATGCAATTTCGTGGGATCACAACCATGCATTAATGGAGTTATGGGAAACTGTTAATTTGTTATTTGAAATGAAGTCCTTATCTCTGGCCAGTTAGCTCAGTTAGTTAGTGCCTGAAGCTAAGGAGGCCAAGGGCATGGGTTGTGTTTGCCTCCAGTGCTGTCCAGTTTGACTTTGTAATGTTGCACAACTGCTGACTGGCACTCCCAGCTGGCCAATTCATGAGGGAGGTTGTACATTCCAAGTGGAATAATTTCCAGGGTTCCATGAGCATAGATGACTCAGGAAATTTTGCTGGGTAAATTTAAATTCAAAAGCACATACAAAAAGGGCATTATGAGGATTCCTTTTGGTGATAGAGCTGTTCTGTACTTTGACTGTGGTGGTAGATATACAAATCCATCCATGTGATAAAATTCTGTAGGGCTAAATACATGCATACACAAATGAGTACAAGTAACATTGAAAACCTGAATAAGATTGTAGGTTGTATCAAGGTCAATGTCTTGGTTGTGATATTGTAATATAGTTTTTTGTGAACTGTTACATTTAGGGGAAACTGATTAAAGGATACATGAGATCCCTCGGTATTATTGCTCACAACTACATGTGAATTTCTGATCATACCAATTAATTTTTTATTACAAATAAAAAATGTACATATGGTTAGTGACGGCTAAGTGGAATAAAACTTATATTTCCAAGACAGCATATAATTCAAGAAAAATGGTTCAGGAAGCCTCAGCACTGTATCTTAGTGCTCCAGAAAAATTGGCCCTCTGATTTGGAAACCTATTATCTATTTTGTTTAAAAAAATAGAAACTAAATGTTCAAACTTGCCCTTCTCTAATCCCGTCAATTTGATTCACAGTAGATACCATCAGAGACTAACAAGTGAGTTAATTGTAAATTCCCAGTATTAAGATTTTCATGAAAAAAAGGAACTAGTAACTTTTTAGCTTCTTTTAAATATCAGTCATCCTAAATACATAATCATATCAAAACCTCATCTGAGAATAAAGCTACTTTTCAATACAATCTTAAGAGATAGTCAAATAAAATATATCTGAGTGCCATATTTAGCCTTAGACTACAAGTTTTCCACCTGATAAATAAACACAGGTGAGACCTGGGATCACTTTAGAATTAGCTACAAACTAAGCCTGTAGCGTTTCACTCTTAAAGAACTCTCAGAAGAAAATCAACAACCCTATATCTACGATAGTTTTTTTCTCATTTCTCCAAGTCTGTGCCATGAGCTTTTCTGTGAAGAAAGGGCTCCCTGAACAATTATGTTAGAGGAATGCTGCATTCCATATCCAACCACCCACCTCTGCAGTGAGTTGAATAGTGTCACCCCAAAATTCACGTCTACCCGGAACCTCAGAATGTGTTCTCATTTGAAAATAAGGTCTTAGGCCGGGCGCGGTGGCTCACACCTGTAATCCCAGCACTTTGGGAGGCCGAGGCAGGCGGATCGCTGAAGGTCAGGTGTTCGAGACCAGCTGGGCCAACAAAGTGAAACCACATCTCTACTAAAAATACGAAAAAATTCGCCAGATGTGGTGGTGGGCGCCTGTAATCCTGGCTACTAGGGAGGCTGAGGCAGGAGAATCACTTGAATCTGGGAGGCGGAGGTTGCAGTGAGCCAAGACCACACCACTGCACTCCAGCCTGGGCAACAGAGCGAGACTCCATCTCTAAATAAATAAATAAATGAATAAATGAAAGAAAGAAAGAAAGGTCTTTGCAGATATATGTAATTAAGGTGAGGTCATTCCGGATTGCAGTGAGCCCTAAATCCAACAACTGGCATTCAGATAAGAGGAGGAGAGGGCACCCAGATATACACACAGGGACAAAGGGCATGTAGTGATAGAGGAAAAGATTGGAGTGATGCAGCTACAAGCCAAACAACACTAAGAATTATCAGCAGCCACCAGAAATTGGTACACTTCTGGCCTCTTGAACTGTGAGAGAACAAATGTATGTTGGTTTAAGCAAATCAGTTGGTGATCACTTGTTATGGCAGCCATAGGAAATGAATGCAGCCTCCTGTCCAGAGATCTGCAGTGTATATTAGCATGTTGAAAGCTTTGAGAAGTTCTTAAGTACCCCTAATTTACTTAACCTTAGAAGCATTTTTCCCCATAAAGTACCCATTAGTCTCATGGAACAAATTTTTTAAATGCTATTTTAGACAATTTCAAATTTCAATGTGCATATAAATCACTTGAAGATTTTATTAAAAAGACTATTCTGATTCAGCAAGTCTCAGATGGAGCCTGAGATTCTGCATTCTAACAAGCTTCCCAGTGATGTCAGTGCTGCTGGCCCTTGCACCATCCTTGCAGCAGCAGGTTTTAGGTTCTGTACACCAGGAGGCAGGGCCCTAGAGTGGGTAATCTTCCAGGGTCTTGTCCACTTGAAAGGATAATGGCTTAGCCATCCGTGGTGGTTTGATTTTTGTCCCCAGCTCTTTACTTCCTGTTGATAGGGAATTTTGCAGTGCTTCCCGCAGTGAGTGGAGTAATTTCCCTGCCTCATTCATCTCATCTGAACCACATGACTTGCTTTAAACCATGGAATATTTATGGATGAAGGATAATGTATAAGTACAATGATTTCCACCTCCCCCCCTCCCACCCAAGGAATATTAGTGGATGACCAGTTTTGTCCCCTTCAGACTGAGCCCCAGAATGAAGACATGTAGAGAAGACCTCAACCCAGCCAGTGATCTGGAACCCAGCCTGGCCCAGCCAAACCCAACAGAGATCAGCCAAACCTTAGCCTACTTCTAGACCTATGAGAGGGAAGTAAATGCCTACTGGCATAAGCTACTGAGATTCTGAGTTTGTTGGTTACATAGCAAAAACTAACCAACACACCATCTTCGTCTCCTATCCCCTTACCCATAACTATGAATGCAAAACTTTATCTGTAAGCTGGGAAGTTATTGGCTGTCAACCATCTACCCAGTACCAAGAGGTAGAAGACATAATTCCTACTCAGAGAATTGACAGTCAAGCTTAGGGAAAAAGTAATGTATGACTGAAAGAATAGATTGCAGTATAAAATTGTATAACATTCAGAGTAATTGAATTTAGGTGTAGTCTAAGAAGGCCAGAGTTGTCAGAGAACCTATGGATGAGCTCTGGGTAGGAAAGGAGAAGTAAAGCATTTATTCTGAGAGGAAGAGAATGTCCTCTGGAAAAAGAGTTCTAACAGAGTAGAATGCCACAAGCTAACAAAGTATTGATTGCAAAATTCAAGCCACCTATTTTTGTCCATTATGGGAAAGCTCACATACATTATTATACTGTGGCAGGCCATTTGTGACCATTTGGAGGAGAAAAAACATTCTACTTGTACATTATTTATTCCTGGCACAGTAACAATTGAGGCACAATGAGGAGCCGCCAGTGGCTGGTTTTCAGTGGCCATGACAAAGCGAAGGCACTAAGGCCAGTGGGCTGCAGGCAGGAGCCAGCATGCGTTATTTGCCCAGTGGAACTGACAGAGGCTGAGAAATATTGGAGCAGGAGAAAAAGTGCTTTGCACCAAATTACTTTTTATTCCTCACTTAATAAAAACTTCTTGGGTTGTCTTCAGTTATTGCTGCTGGGTTCATGATTCATAGATCATAAATGTATGCATAGAGCAATTCTTCTGATGATGTGCTGGGGATTAGGGGAACTTCAGAGGGAGGAGTGAGCCGGAGCAGAGTGACGAATGCCCGGCCCCCGGGGTCTACTCACCTCCAGGAGCCATTTCAAAGAGAAGACATTGCAACAACAGTCCACAGGGAAACCAGGAAATGGAATCCATGCCCAGTGGTTCCCATAACAACAAGGATTATAATTGTCTTAAAGATAAAAGAGCTTAATAAATGTTTAGTTCCTACATACTTATTTTATAAGTTGAAAAACTAAGGCTCAAAAAAATGGTTTGCCCAACTTAATCAGTGTAGACCCAAAACAAAAATCTCAAACTCAGAACTCCCTGTCCATTGTCTTCCCACTTGTAGCAGGAGGCCTCAGAACAGCGGAGGCCCAGTCCCGTCAGGGGATCTGCAGCCCCTGCTCCCAGGCATGGTCTTTGTCCAAGGATCTTGGAGACAGCTCATCCTGGGGAAGAGGAAGTACAGGACACACAGAAGCCCAGCTGTGGCCAAAGGAAAGCAGAGAGTGAAAGTGCAGCAGGGCCTGTGCTGCTCAGATTGTCCTCTGGTCTCACTTAATGCCTTCTCCTCACCACAGCTGGACCAGAATTGTCAGAATCTAGAAAAAGAAGATGGTTAACCAAAAATGTAACAGCTCACGTTTATTGAATACTTTTTAAAAATATTTTATTTTATTTTAAGTTCTGGGATACATGAGC